>NT_187375.1:0-39050 GCF_000001405.40 Homo sapiens | reverse complement strand
TAGCTTCCCTGGACCACAATCGAAGGAGAAGAATTGTCTTGGGCCACACATAGAATACACTAACGATAAGCTGATGAGCCAAAAAAAAAAGCAAAAAAATCTCATAATGTTTCAAGAAAGTTTATGAATTTGTGTTGGGCTGCATTCAAAGCTGGCCTGGGCCACATGCAGCCCTCAGGATTTGACAAGCCTGTTTCAGTATTACTTATTTTCTCTTTTTTTCATTTTTTATTTCATTTATTTTCAGTCTTTTTTTTTTCTTCCCTTTAACTTATTTTCAGTTTACTTTGCTCTTGTTTTATTGCTTCTCAAGAAGAGAGTTAGATCTCTTCATTCCACTTTAGTTTTAGTTATGGTCAACACATTTTGTTTTCATTTTCATTCCATTCAAAATATTATGTAGTTTTCCTTGTGATTTTTCTTTTCATGGACACTTGAGTTATTTAAAAGTGTATCGTTTTTAATTTCTACTACATAGAGATATTATAGGTATGTTATTGTTGCTGATTTCTAATTCATTTATAGTATAGTTGGAGAACATACTTTCTTAGTGAATTTCCACGTACACTTGAAAAGAATGTGTATTCTGCAGATGTTGGTTCAGGGTTATTTTGTTTTTTTTTGTTTGTTTGTTTGTTTGTTTTTTGGAGATGAAGTCTCCCTCTGTTGCCCAGCAGGCTGGAGTGCAGTGGCACAATCTCGGCTCACTGCAGCCTCCGCCTCCCAGGTTCAAGTGAGTCTCCTGCCTCAGCCTCCAGAGGAGCTGGAATTACAGGCACCTGCCACCACCCCTGGCTAATTTTTTAAATATTTTTAATAGAGGCGGGGTTTCACCACGTTGGCCAAGCTGGTCTCAAACTCCTGACCTCAGGCGACCCACCCACCTCGGCCTTCCAAAGTGCTGGGATTACGGGCGTGAGCCATGGCGCCTGGCGGTTCAGTGTTTTTTAGATGTCAGTTAGATCAACTGGTGGAGCTTGTGACTATGCACATCTGTGTCCTTACTGATTTTTTATTCATCCTACAATGTAATGAGAGTTATGTTAGAATCTCCAGCTGTAATTCTAGATCTGTCTACTTGAGCAGTTTTTGCTTAAAGTATTTTGAAGCTGTCATGTGTACGCATTTAGGATTGTTAAGTCTTCCTTATAAATTCAGTCTTTCATTTTCATAACATTTTAACCTTTATTTCTGTTAAATGTCTTGATGCCTAGTTAAATTATTTGACCACCCTTTTTCTCCTGTCAAGCCTGGGACTTTGTTAGTTTGTGGTTATTTATTAGGTTTTTGCCTGTAGACTTAGACAGTGACTCTTACTCTAGGAAAGGCTCATCCTCACGGGCCTCAGCCACATGTTCTAAGTATACTTGGTGAGTTCTGTCCACTCTGCTGTGTCCCAAATTTGTGTGATCTCTGGCATCTCCAGTCAGCCCTCAGAAGTGCCAACCACTCTGCAGAGGCCTTGTGGAGCCTGCTTACTGTATGCACTCCCCCCAGCCCTTGGCCCCAGACCTGCAGAGAACTTTTGCATACTCTTCCAAGGCCTCACCTGTATGTAGTTCCCTCTTCTCCAGTACCTTATTCTATAAACTCCAAACATATTAGCACTGCAAGACTCTCAGCTTAGTGACAGTGACATTGCCTCATTTTTGGAGGTCTCTACCTCTCTGCGTGGTCAAGAAACTGCCATTGGGCAGAAAGCAGAAGTGTGTGTGAGATTTGCCTCCTGTGTTTTCCTGTTCTCAGATATCACAGTCCTGTTCTGCCTGTGTTCCAATCCCCGAAAACAGTTTTCTCAAATATTCTATCCAGTTTCAGTTCTCTCGTTGGTCATGGTAGGAGGGCAAGTCCATCTTGGCTGGAAGAGGAAGTCCTTCTGCATGTTTTTCTCTTTGTCCTTCCACCTTCTTTTGCATTGTGGATTTTCTAAACTTGCCGTAAATGTAAGCATGTGCCTATTTGTGAAGGGAAAGAGAAAATCTTTTAATTTTTTAAAGCTGTTCTGTTGGTTGCTAACAAGGATCTGAAGGGATTGGTAAATAGGATGAAAGAAACTCTGTCTTTCACATGGAGAGTACCATGTGTGACATTAATAAAAATGAGCCTGTCTGTAAGCAAGGATTTTCACTGAGCTCTGCTAGATTCAGAAGTTATTGAACTTACAACATCATAGTTTGCAAAACACAGATTTGATTTACCCAGGAACTAAAGTTAAGTCAGCTATGGGTTAATAGAAGGTCTGTGAAGGTTACTTAGACTACAGTAAGATTGGGGAAGAAAATTCCATTTCCAAATCTAAGATATATCATTCCTTTGTGCCAAGCACATAATGAAGGCAGAGATTTAAGGGGGTCCTTAGCACAGAAGCACTGGGTTAGTAAGAATGTGAGGTGAGCTGTCACACAGCCTTGATGCTAGAATGAGGGTGCCCTGGTAGTATCTTATCAGCCATGACACTGGTGCATCGGGCCAGTTTTTTTTTTTTTTTTTGAGACAGGCTCTGCTTTGTTGCTCAGGCTGGAGTGCAGTGACATGATCATGGCTCAGTGCACCCTCGACCTCGTAGGCTCAAGCAGTCCTCTCACCTTGGACTCCCGAGTAGCTGGGACCACAGGCTTGTACCACCATACCCAGCTAATTTCTTAATTTTTTTTGTAGAGATGAGGGTCTCCTTTTGTTGCCTAGGCTGATTTTGAACTCTTGGGCTTAAATAATTCTCCTGCTTCCACCTCTCAAAGTGCTGGATTACAGGCATGTCAGACATATGGAAACATTCTCAACTATGTGAAAATATGTGAAAAGCTTTGTTATGCATTGTGAGACAACACAGCGGGAATATTTCACCATCTGCCTAAGGTTTAAAAGGAAATAACTTTAAGCATGTGTCTAAATAGCAAGTAATGCTTTTGAGTGGATTCTCTTAAATTCAGCTTGGGTGTCTGCAGCATATATACAGCTTGAGCTGTCACCTGACGTAGAGACAGGCAACTTCAGTGCCCACTGTTCTTAGGATCCACTGCTTTTTCACAGCTAAAACCCCCGAGTGGCACCGTTAAGTATTATGTTATGTTACTTTAGTCGCTAAACATATAAGCATACCTCCAAAGGTTGACTGTAGGCCACTTGCAGAAAGTAGGCAGAATGCTCACATTTAATTCTTGATGATACTGTGTTTAGCTTTCTTATTCTTTGAAATCCCATTGAGAAAAAATACTGGCATCTGCTCAAAGTAATTTCTTTTTCAGTTGACAATATTATAAGTAATGTTATTGTATCATTTCCCGACTTGGACAGAGTGTGAAAATTTTGAGGAGCTTGTCTGCCAGAAATTTCTTCTTCATTTGCAAAACATTAATGAGATATTATATTTAAATTATTTTATTTAATATTAAGTGTACTTGGTGAACGTGGCATAGAACATACAAAATAAAACTAATTTAAAATTATTAACTGTTACATTTATAAGAAAGGCTTGCTAATCATAACACTGTTCATAATGATTCTGAATAAAGCATTATTTCTTTTCCTGAAAACAATTGTAGCTATAACTCAATCATCTAAATTGTCATTAGTTTTATTGCTTTCTAATCATCTTTAGCTGAAATTTTAATTTTGATTAATTTTCCTTTTCTCCATTGTTTTTGTGTGTGTGTGGAGGTAAAATATACAGAATATAGAATTTGCCAGTTTTTCTTTTTTTTTCTTTATTATTATTATACTTTAAGTTTTAGGGTACAAGTGCACAATGTGCAGGTTACTTACATATGTGCCATGCTGGTGCGCTGCACCCACTAACTCGTCATCTAGCATTAGGTATATCTCCCAATGCTATCCCTCCCCCCTCCTCCCACCCCACAACCATCCCCAGAATGTGATGTTCCCCTTCCTGTGTCCATGTGTTCTCATTGTTCAATTCCCACCTATGAGTGAGAATATGCGGTGTTTGGTTTTTTGTTCTTGCAATAGTTTACTAAGAATGATGATTTCCAATTTCATCCCTGTCCCTACAAAGGACATGAGCTCATCATTTTTTGTGGCTGCATAGTATTCCATGGTGTATGTGTGCCACATTTTCTTAATCCAGTCTATCATTGTTGGACATTTGGGCTGGTTCCAAGTCTTTGCTATTGTGAATAATGCCACAATAAACATACGTGTGCATGTGTCTTTATAGCAGCATGATTTATGGTCCTTTGGGTATATACGCAGTAATGGGATGGCTGGGTCAAATGGTATTTCTAGTTCTAGATCCCTGAGGAATCACCACACTGACTTCCACAATGGTTGAACTAGTTTACAGTCCCACCAACAGTGTAAAAGTGTTCCTATTTCTCCACATCCTCTCCAGCACCTGCTGTTTCCTGACTTTTTAATGATCGCCATTCTAACTGGTTTGACATGGTATCTCATTGTGGTTTTGATTTTCATTTATCTGATGGCCAGTGATGGTGAGCATTTTTTCATGTGTTTTTTGGCTGTATAAATGTCTTCTTTTGAGAAGTGTCTGTTCATGTCCTTTGCCCACTTTTTGATGGGGTTGTTTGTTTTTTTCTTATAAATTTGCTTGAGTTCACTGTAGATTCTGGATATTAGCCCTTTGTCAGATGTGTAGGTTTTGAAAATTTTCTCCCATTTTGTAGGTAGCCTGTTCACTCTGATGGTAGTTTCTTTTGCTGTGCAGAAGCTCTTTAGTTTAATTAGATCCCATTTGTCAATTTTGGCTTTTTGTTGCCATTGCTTTTGGTGTTTTAGACATGAAGTCCTTGCCCATGCCTATGTCCTGAATGGTAATGCCTAGGTTTTCTTCTAGGGTTTTTATGGTTTTAGGTCTAACGTTTAAGTCTTTAATCCATCTTGAATTGATTTTTGTATAAGGCATAAGGAAGGGATCCATTTTCAGCTTTCTACATATGGCTAGCCAGTTTTCCCAGCACCATTTATTAAATAAGGAATCCTTTCCCTATTGCTTGTTTTTCTCAGGTTTGTCAAAGATCAGATAGTTGTAGATGTGTGGCATTATTTCTGAGGGCTCTGTTCTGTTCCATTGATCTATATCTCTGTTTTGGTACCAGTACCATGCTGTTTTTGTTACTGTAGCCTTGTAGTATAGTTTGAAGTCAGGTAGTGTGATGCCTCCAGCTTTGTTCTTTTGGATCAGGATTGACTTGGCGATGTGGGATCTTTTTTGGTTCCACATGAACTTTAAAGTAGTTTTTTCCAATTCTGTGAAGAAAGTCATTGGCAGCTTGATGGTGATGGCATTGAATCTGTAAATTACCTTGGGCAGTATGGCCATTTTCACGATATTGATTCTTCCTACCCATGAGCATGGAATGTTCTTCCATTTGTTTGTATCCTCTTTTATTTCCTTGAGCAGTGGTTTGTAGTTCTCCTTGAAGAAGGACCTCTTCAAGGAGAATTTGCCAGTTTTTCTATTTTTACATGTACACTTCAGTGGCATTTAAATATATGCACCATTTTACCTTCCCACCAGCATTGCACAGGGTTTCAGTTTCTCTGCATCCTGCCCAACATTTGTTTTTCTGGTTTTCTTGTTTTCTGTTTTTTGTTTGTTTTGATAATAGCATTCTAATGGGTGTGAAGTGGTATTGCATTATGGTTTTGATTTATATTTCCCTAGTGACTAGTGATATTGAGCATCTTTTCGAGTGCTTATTGACCATTTGTATATCATCTTTGGAGCAATGTCCATGTATATCCTTTGCCCAGTTTTGAATTGTGGTATTTGTCTTTTTGGAGTTCTCTATATAGTCTGGATATTAATTCCTTATATTGTATGTAGTTTACAAATATTTTCTCCATTATCTGGGTTGCCTTTTACTCTGTTGACAGTGATTCTTGATGCACAAAAGTTTTTAATTCTGATGAAGTCCAATTTGTCTGTGTTTTCTTTTGTTGCCTGTGCCTTTGATGTTCTATATAAGAAATCATTGCCAAATTCATTGTCGTGAAGCTTTTCCCATTTTCTTCTGAAAGTTTTGTAACTTTAGCTCTTACATTTAGGTCTTTGGTCTATTTTAAGTTACTTTTTGTGTTTGGTGTTAGATAACGGTCCAACTTCATTTTAGCTGAAATTTTATGTATTTTAAAATTGATTATGAAAAGCATGAAATGTTTAGTTGAATAGAAAATTTTGTGCAGTGGAATTAACTGAATCTTTAAAACCTTTTTATTATGGAAATATCCAAACTAATTCATACATAGAAGAATATAATGAGTCCCCCATGTGCCCAGGCCCCAGCATTAATTATCAATATTTTGCCAATCTCGTTTCAGTTACATACACACCCCCACACACGTTTTTTCCAAGAAAATTTTAAGTAAAATCACACATACTACGTCATTTTACCCATAAGTACATAAATGTACATTTCTTGACGTGGTATGTCTTTCTCTCATCACCTGTTTTGTTCTTTACTTTTATACCTTATACTATGTCATTATCAGACCTTGTAAAATTAACAAGAATTCCTTAATATGTCATATCCAGTTAATGATTGACTCATTTCTACTCTAGTTAAAGTACAATTTAGGACAAGGTTTGAGGATATTTTTTAACATTAAGATGTAAACTTTTATAACAACTGCTAAAATAATTGTTGCTAGAGTCTAACATTTCTATTGGCAAATTGGAAATTAGTATATATAGACATAGATTCTGCTCATTTTGCTTTCAATCTAAAATCTTAGTTAAGATTACTGGCCGGGTGCGGTGGCTCACACCTGTAATCCCAGCACTTTGGGAGGCAGAGGCGAGTGGATCACTGGGTCAGGAGTTCAAGACCAGCCTGGCCAATGTGGTGAAACACCGTCTCTACTAAAAATACAAAAAAAAATTATTCGGGCATGGTGGCAGGCTCTTGTAATGGCAGCTACTCGGGAAGATGAGGCAGAGAATTGTTTGAACCCAGGAGGCAGAAGTCACAGTGAGCCAAGACCGCGTCACTGCACTCCAGCCTGGGTGACAGAGCAAGACTCCATCTCAAAAAAAAAAAAAAAAAAAAAGATTACTATGCTAGAAAGTCTTCCTGTAGAGGCATTTTTAAGAAGCATTATGATAGGCATTGCCTCTGGAAAGCAGGCATGAATAGATGGCTGGGGTCTATCATAAGAGAGACCGTTCTTCATATATCACTTTGTACCCTCACATGTTGCCTTTTGTTTTGTTTTGGTCTTTTTTTGAGACAGGACCTTGTTCTGTCACTCAGGCTAGAGTGCAGTGGTGTGATCATAGCTCACTATAACCTTGAACTCCTGGGCTCAAGTGATCCCTTTCCACAGCTCCCCGAGTAGCTGGGATTACAGTCATGCACCCCCATGCCTGGCTGTATGTTGCTATTGTGTATTTTAAAAACCAATCCTGACTGTGCTGGTAGTCGCAGGAATCTGTGCACATACATGCAAACAAGTACATGTAAAACTGGTGAAATCTGAATAAGCTTCATGGATTATATCAATATCGGTTTCCTGATTCTAACAATGTATGATACTTATGCAAGATGTCATCATTGAGACTAAGTGAGTGAAGGATATGTGAGATCTTCGTAGTATTTCTTACGACTGCAAAATAAAAAGTTTTTAAAACTAAGTTATAATAACGAAGAACTCTGTGTCAAAACTAAAATATAAAGTTGAAATATCAATTTTATTTTTTAGGAATCTGGTGGACAGTAACAAACTTTGGTGGAATTTCAGGAACCATAGCCATTAAAATGGATGAGGGAACCTATATACATGCACTTGACAATGGTCTTTTTACCGTGGGAGCTCCACACAAAGAAAGGTTTGTGTCTGGAAGGGAAGATCCTGCCACAAGTGTAGATTTTAGGACATTCATTCACTTAGGCCAAACTCTAACTAGTCTCAAACATTTTCCAAAGAAATGGAACCATTGCATTTGACTCTTCCATTTTTTAATTCCTTAATATTTACCAGCCATTGGGAAGTCCCTCTTTCTAATATAAGCATTTGAAAACATTCCATATAGTTCCATAAGAGTATCTTTGGAAATCAAAACAATATGAATAATTAAAATAGTAAGTGGAAAGAAAAAAGAAAACCTATTTGAGTCAAACATAATTGAATTTCTTTTTTATTCAGACCTATTACCAAAACTAACCTGGGTGCTTTTAACAATTTGAAGTTTCTTCATTTTCTTTAGCCCATTAGAGGAAGCACTAATGAGATATGAAGTAATTAGAAGATAAAAAGCAGTATCATTTGGTCAGCAAGGCCATCCATTGAATAAATGAAAGCATTTAGCTTTTTTAAATAAGTGCTTATTTATGACTGTATTTTAAAACATAAAGAGAAGCTATCTCAAAAGTTATTAAATAAGTATTATATCACCGTCTTACTCAGTGTATAAAATTAGCACTGTAGTTAAAAAAAGGTAAAATAGATCTTGATTCCAAAGATACAGTATTACAGTGACATCAGTATATCTGAATATTCTTACATTTAATTGCAGAAGAAAATAGCCACATTTTTTAAAGCAAAATAATGTCTTTATATTTATAGCAAATGTCAAATTTATTTTCAAATGTTTTTTCTCCAATAGTTGATGAGGGCCCTAGTCCTCCAGAGCAGTTTATGGCTGTCAAATTATCTGATTCCAGTTGAGCTTATGTTGTAATATAATTAGTAACCAGTTATTTTAAAAATTTAATTGTATTCATTAAAAATTTTAGTATCTGTCTTAAGCCCACGGTAATTTTGATATAAAAAACGAAATAGCTTTTTTGAAAAGTAGATTTTGTGATCTACTTTTAGTGGATTTCCTACCAATATATAATGCTAGGCTGGAAAAAAGATATGTAAGTTAAAAAATGAAGATTAATAATTTCACACACCAAGTAAGATAGATTAAAAAATAAATCAAATAGTACAAAACCTGGTTCACTGTTGCTATGATATTTAAACTCACGTTTGGAAGTCTAAAGACAAACAGGAAGACTAAAAAAAGGAATATTGTTGAAACCAGCAGAGAATGTTACAGCATCATAACGACCAAAAGAATATTTTAACTCACTATTTTTACAGTCATTTTATAAAGTAGCCTTTTTTATTCTCACCTTGTGCAGAAGTATAGAATGATTCTTTGGGTAAAAGATACTGAAAGTGAATTTACACATTTTAGTAATTTGTTACATAGACATGATAATGATTTCTGTTATATAATCATTAACGTATAAAGGAGTAAAAGTCAATTCTGGCATCCAAGGAGATTCTTGGTAAGGTAAAAGAAATCATAATTTTAAAAAAATCACATTAAGATGATTATTTCTATACTTTCTTTGGAAGTCTGATAAGTAGGGTGAAAGACAAAGAAGAAAAGCAGAGGAAGAAAAAATTCAATAGTTTTAAACTGCTTTACAATTATAAACAAAAAAGGATTATAAAGAAAATTAACTGACAAATGAGGAAAATATTTGCAACAATCTTAATAGGCAGTGAGTTCTTACTCTTCATATGTATCTTGTATAAAATTCATAGCACTGAAGACCCCAGTAGAAAAATTGCGAACAATCAGATCTGAATAGAAAAGTGGACAAGGCACATTACCAGATAATCTAAAAACTAAAAAGGAAAGGAAAAGAAAAACAATTGTTATTCTAGTTAACTACTAAAATGCAAATTAATAGGATACTGTTTTTTTCCATATCAGGTTTTCAAGTATTTTTTTAGAGTCATAATGTTTAAAAAAAAAATCCATGATACAAAACATACTCTGTTAATTTGAGGTAAGAATGTAAATGGAAGCAGCATTTTCTGGCAAACAATTTGATGACATAAAGTTTTAGTAATTTATTATTGAAGTTTATAACTAAAGAGGTATAATTGAAGAATGATGAATTTTGAAAATATTTGTTATGTAATATATAAGGTACAATGTTTATATTAAAAAAGCAAAATATAAAACTAAATTTAAAACTGCACTGTCCAATATGGAAACAACTAGTCACATGTAGTTTTTTTTTTTTTTTTTTTTTTTTTTTTTTTTGAAGGCACAGAGTCTCAATCTGTCAACCAGGCTGGAGGGCAGTGATGTGAACCTAGTTCACTATAACCTCAAATTTCTGGGCTCAAGCACTCCTCCTGCATCAGCCTCTCAAGTAGCTGGTATTACATGTGCACACCACCATGCCCAGCTAACTTTTTAAATTTTTTGTAGAGATGGGGTCTCACTATGTTGCCCAGGCTGATCTTGAACTTCTTGTCTCAAGCAATTCTCCCATTGCCTTCCCAAAGCACAGAGATTACAGGCGTGAGTCACCACTCAGCCACATACATCTTTTGAACACTTGGAATATGTCCAGTCTGAAATTTTAGATATGTACACACCCACACACATACACATGTCCTGTTTTGATGTCCTATAATTAATTTTCTCTCAGTTTTTCACTTTTATCTATCTTATTACTGTACAGAACCGCCCTGAAATCTGGCTATGGAAAATATATCTTGGTATAAATTCAGATGAACTTGTTGTTGGGCGTTCAGATGCAGTTGAACCAAGAGAACAATAGGAACCAGTCTTTCAAAATATAAGTGCTGTTATTCTTTATAAAAACTTCCTGTCAGTTTAACAGAAAGTCTGTAACAGTCAATCATAATATATTTAAAAAGAAAAAGTAGGATGCAATAGTATAATACATTAAATTGGAATAAATCAGTAAGAACATAGAGCCTTAAAGAGATCTCAAAATATAGTGCAACAAAAATAGCTTTAGTACTTTTGCCCACAATTATTTCTGTGTATCATTAGTGTCTAGATATGGATCTCATTTCCACTGAAGAACCAGTCAATTTTAGGTCACAGAGTAGGAAAACAGAATAGTTCCTAAGTATCTTCCTTGTAGCAGAAATCATGGATGCTTTCAGAAACATTACAGACTGTAAGAGAACAGTGGGGCTAGCTAAGAACAATTTGTGACAATTTGCGTATGAAATATAAATAATAATAGTTAATTGAAGTAAATTATCTCTAAAAGACTTTCAGTTCATAAGCTTAAAATAATGTATGAAAAGATAGTTTTAATATAAGAAGAAAAAAGATAATATACTAATTCTTAATTTTAGTAAGTAGACAGTTGTAGTATATGGATGTTTTGTTAAATCTTTGTTGATACAGAATACATGATTTCCTTTTTCTGTGTGAGAAGTAAAGATTAAACAAAAAATATGTGAGTGCTAAACTGTCTTTAAAAAGTAGATAACTATATCAAAAACAGTAAGGACCAGTGGGTACCACACAGAACAAGCAAATAGAAGATAAGCTCAGCCTTTGAGTAGCAGCTTTGGTAGTATACAATAATGAACTGAAAATAGCAACTCAGCAGTGTTTTCCAAGATGACAGATTAAACAAACATCCCACCAGAAAGAGGTAATCACTTAGACTAATTTCCTCATCCCCTAGGATAAAATCTTAAGTCAGTGACTTGAAAACTGTTTTGACCCAATCCATTGAGAAATGCATTTTTACATTGCAGCCCAGCACACACATATGCATAACTGAAGCAAGAATTGTACTTAACAATACTTACTTATCCATGTGTTATGCACCTTGATATTTCTTATTCTCTTTTACCCCTTCCTCTGTGTGTCTGTGTGTATTCCTTTTCCCCCCAGCCCACCCAATACCGTTCAGGAAACACTGCATTGATTTCATTACCTGTTAATGTGTTGCAACCCCTTTGAGATGATCCTACTAGTTGTGATGAGATGTTTCTAATAAAAGTTCCACCAGTAGAAAATGCCATTATTTCATAAGGCCAGGATGATGACTTAGATAGTACTAATAATACAACACTTTAGGAAAGTTCATTTCATTTTATTTTTAGGAAGGACACTAAGTTTCAAAAATTTAAATTTAAATGAAAGAGGGTCTTAAAACTATTTCAAAAAGGACTCAGCTGAATAATCTGTGGCAGAGGTTTAAATCACCTTGGACCACACTGCCATGTTCCAGAGCTCACCAGGAGCCATCCAGATGAGAGAACACCCAGCCCTTGAGACTTGACTAAGAAATTAAATCCATGTTATCAGCACGTTTTTAACTGGATGTGATATAAGGTTAACATATTTTGTAATCATTGTATTTATAAATATTTTGTCTAAATGTTATGGTATTCCAAGTTTTCCAAAAGAATCAACCAAATACAAGTTATAAATAAACGTTATATTTGTTACGGGAGTTAAGCTAACCAAATTTGTAACCCAGATTTAGATACACAAGAAAATCAGTTTTTAAAGTTTTGTTTAATAGAAAGCAGTGTAATACATCAAACATTAAACAACTAAACATGTATATGAATATTTATTTTCACACACAAAAGTTCTTCAGACATTGATTCTTAAATTCAAAATACCAAAGACATTGTATATACCTTTTCATGTTTTCTAATTGTGAAGAAAATAAATTTTATTTAAAATGTTAATATTTGAATAAAGTATGCATTCATAATTATGTTCTTGTCTTTAAAGTTAATTTTCCAAACAGAACTAAATCAGTTTTATCTTCAGTAGATCTTTTAGAAAGGAAGCAATCCTACCTCATCTAAGTAGAATTTAGTCCTACTAGGAAGACACATTACAAATGTTTTTTGTGGTAATCTTTGAATAGTAAAATGGAAGGTGATTTTGGTTTCCTTTTCTATATGTTCTTGTATTATATTTTTCAGGTTTTTCTCTAAGTTCTTTTCTGTGATTTTTAAATCAGGGAGGAAAAATTAATTCAGTCTAAACACTTAATGTTTCTTCCACAAGAAGTATCCTCATGGCTATTTTGTTATTTTGTTTCACTTAGGGGAAAATGGCTTTGTTGGCCTCAGATAGCTGCTTTATTAGATGTAATGAAGCAGGGGACATAGAAGCAAAAAGTAAAACAGCAGGAGAAGAAGAAATGATCAAGGTAATGGTGACATTTTATACAGATGACTGCATTCACACATGCGATGTGACTGTATCTCTTTAAAATGTTAAGTCATCATTTACTGTCACTTTAAAGATTTAGTTAATAGCTTTTTATAATGTGGTGTTTCAAATAGACTCATTTTAAATTATAAATCCCATAGTTGATGGCTTGTTTATACAATGTGTTAGAGAAATCAGTGCATCTAGGAGCTACCTTGCCATTATCTCCATGGATTAGTATCTTTTTCTGGTAGTTCCACATGCTCTTTTTAAGCTTTCATTTTCTTGTTTTCTTGCTTGTATTTTAAAATCTGATTTTTTAAATAGATAACATGTACACGTGGTCCAACATTTTTAAATAAAAGCATATAAAGATGAAGATACATGCCTGACATGCATCTTACTCACCTGTGTCCCAGCTCCTGTTCCTCGTTCACTTTGTTTTGTTTTTTTATAGCCTCCTAAAGTTTCTTTATAAACATATGAATATATTTATAATTTTCAACTGTTTTACACTAAAGACAACCTCCTCTATAGTCTTCTCGACTTTGATTTTTTTTTTCCTTAAAATTGTATCTTGGAGAGCTTTCTACTATTAGTTTCAATGTAGAAAGTTTTCTCTTTGTCTTGCTTTTCCTCTCTTTCTCTCTCTCTCTTTTTTAACAGCCACATAAAATTCCATTTTAGGGATGTACCTTAATTTATTTAGTCTTTTGTAGATGGAAATTTAGGCTGTTTCCAGTCTTTTGCTCTTATAAACAGTGCTGCAGTACATAACATTGAATATGCATCAATTTATAGATGTGCGGGTGGACCTGAAGATAAATTTCCAGAAGCAGAATTACCAGGTGGGGGTATACGCGTTTGTATTTATGTAATGCTTGAGCTTCTGTGATGATAATCACTCTATGAAACATAAAAAATCATAGCAGAACTTCTGGGGCCTTAGCCCTTACATTTTAAAAATATTTTTATTAATAGTACCTGTCTTCTTTGCATTAGGAGAAACATGAATCACATAAAACATGGTTTTTATTTATTTTTAAAATTCATGTGCATCACTAATCTGGAAATAAAAGTTCCTTATTCCAGGCTAAATTCCCTCATCCATAGTCAGATGTGTTATCCATTGCACCAGTGGCCTGTGCCCTCCCTAATCCTACTCTTTGTTTTACATCATTGTAAAAGTTACACAGACATCTTCATATCAAGGTGAAATTCCAAATAATACTGTTAATATAACCTAGATAAATCAGGTAGTTAACTGGAACTTGACGAAAACATTTAAGGATTAATTTTTTAGACTCACAAAAGCCACTGATCTTTAATGATATGCATATACCAGGATGTGTCTAAAGAATAACTCCCCCCTTCTTGACACATGGTTTTTCTGTGTCTTGGCATTCCATCGTAGTACTGAGCAAAGACACTGATCTTTAATGATAAACATATACCAGGATGCGTCTAAAGAATAACTCCCCCCTTCTTGACACATGGTTTTTCTGTGTCTTGGCATTCCATCCCAGTACTGAGCATCCAGAACCTTACTTTGTTTGTCTCTGTTGGGAATCACAGGTTGCATCCAGTCTGAACCAGATTTGCTCTGTAAGACATTGTGGGGGCCAGAGTGGAAGGGTCTAAGAGAGGGGGCAAATGCCTTTTCTAAAATGCCCTTCATTCTTATAATTAGAGCATAAAAATTTATGTTACATTTTTCTCTACTTCCAGTGTAATTTAAAAGCATCTATCAATTCTCTGTACGTGTTTCATGTTAGATTTCTGGTCATATGTTTGATTTTCTTTTTAGAATAGTCTTGATTTCAGATAATTTCAAATCTAAAGCTCAAACAAATTCAATCTAAAATGTAGGTATTTTCTTACAGTTAGAGAAGTGAAATGTTATATTTTTTCTTTGCATGCATCCAGCACATGCGTTGTAGTCTTGAATTTCCATAATGCTCCTGTGAGGTGGATGTGAACTCAGCCTTACAGACAGGAAGACAGCCTCTGACCCTCCTTACATCCTTGTGGTTTTTGTCAGTCAGTTCATGGAAATCACAGTGATTTCAAGGTGTGGTAAGACAGGATGTGTACCCAGGCCCAGCTGACTCCAGAGGCCACTCTCAGTATTTCATAGCACATTGCTTCTCAGGAAACAGGTCATTGGGGAAATGCAGATGGGTTTGTGACTTACATTTAATTTTATTTATTTATATTTTATTATATCATGTTTAAATTATTTTTCATCTGGATATCATCACAAAAGTGTTACTGAAGGCAACAATTGCAAATATATGTGCAGTGTTTTGCACTTATACAAAGATACACAAAGATTGCATTTTTCATGATTTAAAGCAATTTTCAGATGAAATACAAAGTTTTCTGGGTCTTTTTGGTTAGTCAAGTACTTGGGAGCTCTGAACAGTGATTATTTAGGACTCTTTTTGTACCATTTAATTGCAGACTGTCCTAATCTCTGTCAGCCCTTCACCTTTATGACCTTGCCTTGTCTACCAGAACACAGACCCCTCTTACTAAAGGTAGCATTGTGCTACAGGCCCTAGCAGGGAATGTTTTCAGGTCTGGGACCCCTGTAATCAAAACTGTCACAAAGATGTCATTGGCACAAACACGTTATTTGTCATCACTTTCTAAGCAGCCCTGGAACTGGACTCTGGCCACAGAGATCCCTTAGGAGACATGAGTCCTTACCATTGCCAATTGCCTGTTCTGTGGGCGATCCTAATTGTTGAATGCAGATTAATTAACTTATGACATGTGATAGTAAACATCTATCCAAACTTAGGAGGATATAAGAAGCTAGTAAAAGAGGTGGGTTCCAATTAATTAAAAACAAGTTGTGTAATGTTAAAAGTTTTAATACTTTGGTAATACTCTGTGCAATGTAAAATAGCTATTAAGCTTTTAATCTGATCAAATGAACACTTGTCTACTAGGGATAATTTGATCCCAGTGTATTCACTTGGAGGACAAAATTAAATTAATGATTTCCTTATTGCTTAGCAGGATCTGATATGTAAAATGTTCCTGAAATAATTTTGTTTGTAGTGTTTCTGACACAAGGGCTGTGGAGAAAGCATGTGATAGCACTTACTCATATAGATTATATATATGAAGTAAAAACACATAGCCAGAACCTGTCTTTTTCTGAATATAGTTGCTCAGTTAATTTTTTCTTCTGCATAAGAAATCATCTAGAATGTTCTTATGTGATGCGTAAAGTGTGGAAGGTGGAAGATAAACATATAACCCATTGGATTCTGTTTTCCAATATCTAGATTAGATCCTGTGCTGAAAGAGAAACCAAGAAAAAAGATGACATTCCAGAAGACAAAGGAAATGTAAAACAATATGAAATCAATTATGTGTATGTATGCTTTTCCTTTTAGACCTACAGATTTGACAGTGAAGTGCTTCTCAAAGTGCTTTCAAAATAAATTACCTAATTACCTGGGAATGGTGATGCATGCCTGTAGACCCAGCTACATGGAAGGCTGAGACATGAGGATTGAGCCCAGGAGTTCAAGGCTGCAGTGAGCTCTGATCACCACTGCATTCCAGCCTGAGTGACAGAACAAGACCCTGTCTGAAAAATGAAAACTGATGGACAAGAAGAGGCAACACAGTGTAGCCTCTAGGACAGAGCACTGAGCTAAATGCTTTTCTCTTCTTGAGGGTTCAGTTTTCCTAATCATCCTACCAGCTCCCAAAGGTAGTCACTCGGGTTAGTCAATCTCTCTATTCATTCATAGAATGGGCCTGATGTTTGTCAAAGGCTGTGCTATGGCCAGGACACAGGGGACTCCAGCCAGCAGGCCTTAATAGAAGTGGGGCCTTCTGCTACCCAGTCAATGAGTGGCCCTCCTCTTGAGAGGTTATGAAGGTCATCTTTGATGTTCAAAATCTCCAGCTTATTAAAAAAAATACAATTAGACTTTTTTTTTTCTCCCCCAAGACAGAGTCTCACTCTGTCCCCCAGACTGGAGTGCAGTGCCATGATCTTGGCTCATCGTATCCTCCGCCTCCCAGGTTCATGTGATTCTCCTGCCTCAGCCTCCCGAGTAGCTGGGACTACAGGCGCGCACCACTGCACTCGGCTAATTTTTGTATTTTTAGTAGAGATGGGGTTTCACCATGTTGGCCAGGCTGTTCTCGAATTCCTGACCTCGAGTGATCCGCCTGCCTTGGCCTCCCAAAGTGCTGGGATTGCTGGCATGAGCCACTGTGCCTGGCCTACAATTAGACCTTTTTAATAAGTGAAAAAGAAATTAACAGTATTTACAAATTTAATAGTAAATATGTATAATCAGAGTTTGAGGTATTTTTCAATGAAGACATTTTCTTTGCAGAAAGAAATTTCAGAGCTTCCAAGACCACAAACCTAAAATAAGTAAAGAAGATAGTAAAATTCTTAAAAAGGCTCAGAAAGATGGATTTTTGCATGAGACGCTTCTGGACAGGTAGCTATTTATTTACTTATTTTCACTATTTTCAGTAGCCAATAGAAATGACATGTAGAAAACCTATATTCTCTTAAATTACTGTAGTTTTCACATTTTTGTCTTTATTTCTAATTTATGAGTGTGGCAATATTACCTAGAGAGGACATCATGAGTTTGGGAAAAGACTGTCAAGAAAGAATATCTAAAAATTATAACCGATTCTAAGTATATATTTTAAGAAATTCAGGTTTGACTGTATCTACTTCATAAATTTATCATTATCTTTTTATAACTATTAGAACCAGAGTTAGAAAGAAGCAGTTTGACTAATATAAAAATTATGTGGATTCTGTTAGAGTAGTTCAGGTTCCTTAAAATAAGCATAGATCAACTAAAAAACTAAGTATAAAAACTAAACAAGTGAAATTGAAGCAGTTTTATTGTAAGATTTGGAAGAGTGCAGGATGTTTATCATAGCACACTATTAATATTTATTATTGTTCCTATGTAGATAAGTAATGTCCTAGATTTACAACATAGAAAAACAGGTAGAGACGTTTAGCTGTGAGTGTACAAGTATAAATCAATTAAGTGCCAGATTTTGATAATCACCAGCCGCTCATTCAAGTCCTATGTTGCAAAGTTACTCTTACGCTTTTTTTACATTACTTGATAAAGGCAATCTTTAATTACATATTTTCTATTAACTAGCTGGTAGAGTTCATACCTAAAGTCAGTAAATAATGTTAAGAATTTTTTCCAGCTGAGCAAATGAGTATGTATCTAGTTGTAAGAAATCAAGAAGAGGATATAAAATATAATCAGGATGTGGACTCTAAAACGGAATAACCTCTATGTCCTGTAACTTTTATCACTCGTAATAATACAGTATTCTCACCCTATTAAATGGAAATTTAAAGCACCTTTAAATTCCAGAATAATTAAAATTGCTATTTGGATTGAAAAAGCCCTTAGGCGACATTTATTGAATATTAGGAAATAACTTTTATATGATTAGAATCCATTTTTTATAGAAACCAAATTTGAAAGTATACATATTTTAATATAAGTGTTGTGGTAATACAGTAACCAAAATTGAACATACAGTTTTAAAACTTTTTATATTTAGTAGCAGTTGAATATATATGGCATGTTTTACATAGATTAATTTTACTATTTTTCTTTGTTTAAAAAAGAGAACCAAATTGAAAGCCGACAGATACTGCAAATGACTGGGATTTTTATTTCTGCCTTATCTTTTTGTGTTTTTTTTCTGAATAAAATATTCAGAGGAAATGCTTTTACAGAGTTCTTGAGTTGTTGTGAAATTATTATTTAGGTAGTACCTAGTTTAACCAGGATTAAACAAGTTTAATCAGGATTCTTCATGGATGTACTTTTTAGCTAACTACAATTTTTCACATGGAAATGAAACTTACAGTACACACTTAACATACCACAGAATTTTTTTCTGGATTTCTGGTCCTGAAGCATGAAGTGTAGTAGAAACCAATTCTTCCTGCGCTACTTGTGGAATCTTTCTTACTGGATCATAATCTTACTTACTTTATACAATAGATGCTTAATCAGTGCCTTTAATAGGAAGTTAAAAACTCCCAATCCAATCAACAAGGCTTTGATTCTACCTCCTAAGTAATATCCAGATCGCAGACAATCCAAATATCAGAACTAGGGGGCCGGACAGAGGACAAATCATCTATTAGGGAGTGGGACAGAAAGTAGAAACATTACAAAGGAGCAAGTAGTCTCAGAAAAGAGGGGAGAGTAGTACTGGGAAAACTCCCTACTGAGGACAGGTTTGCCACAGTGGATATGTATGTGATGCTTTTGTCCTCGTGGGCTGGAATGGAAGCTGATAAAGAAGTTCAGACGCTAAGTGTTGCTTAGGTCTGCTTTGTTGAAGCCTGTCTCTTTCAGAGTTCCTAAACACAATATTCCCGTGGCATCTAATCCCAGTGAGTGCTCCAAATCCAGGCTGTGTATCAGATGCCATGGGAAATTCTGCCTCAGGATTGAGGTTGGTTCACGCATCTGGATGATGTCAAAAGTCCACGTTGTGTGCTGGCCTAACTTGAAAGACCCTATCTAGTTCTAGCCTTTAAATTCCTTTTGTCACCAAATCTGGAGTTACATGGCATCTGTACAAGCTAAGTAGCCGAGGCATGGGATCAGCCCTATAAAGGAGCTTTTGGAGCTTTTTTTGTAGGTCTAGCTTCAACTTGGCACTCCAGTTCCAATAGCTGGACTTTCTCTCATCGTGTGTGCTGATCCTTGGATTGGGAACAAAGTAACCACTCTGATCCCTCAAAGCAGTGGTTCCAGTTCCCAACTGGTGACTATTTTGCCTCCCAGGGAACATTTTTGGTTTTCCCAACTGGAATACGGTGTTAGAGAGTAGAGGCTAGGGATGCTGCGAAGCACGTTGCAGAATCCTCTTCCGCACAGAATGCTAACAGTGCCAAGGTTATGGAGCCTTCCCACCCAAGGGCTTGGCCTATTTCTTGCTTTTGCCAGCTCCCTAACCCTTAAACACAACAGTTCAAATCTATATGCATAAGTATCTCCTAGGGACCTGCACGTTTCCAATATCGACTACTGAGACCCATCCGTAGAGATGCAGGCTTAGGAGGTCTAGGATTGGGCTCAAAATTTTCATTTTAACAAGTACTCTAGGTCATTCTGAAGCAAGTGATACAAACCACAGAATGAAGAACACGCCTTCAGGAGACTGAATCTTGCTTCCCAACACTAGCTTGGTATCTGAGACCATCTGCCTGCTGACTGGCTTTCCTGGCACAAACATTCTGCATGTAGGCACAGTGTGTTCCTGGACTCCATGTCAACCCGTTCACCCTCATGTTCCCTTGGTTCCTCTCCCCAGTCCAGCGAGCAGAACTGATTACAGATCTTGACAACAGAAAATACAGATTTAAAATAACTTACCTGTTCCCGTGGACTTTATCCACTAGTGGAGGAGGACAAGTGGACAAGGGGAGAGGGTAGGTGGGGGCTCCTTCCCTATTCCTCCCATTCCACTTTATACAAACCCCAGCTAGACCACTGGGAGAGCAACGGAGGTTAAGAATGACTGCATCTAAATATTGTCATCTGGTCCACTCTTCTTCCATCTTGTACACAAGAATATCATGAGTTTTGCTTAAAGCACTACCGAAACCAAGATAAACTCTGGCTTAGCATGCCCCTGACGGATCAGTCTAGTAATCTTATCAAAACCAAGACTACCTAAAAGCACTAACCAAAGGAAAGCTCCCTCACCCCAACCTATGACTGCTCACATTTTTGAGATTGAATCATTTCAATTGTATTTTAAGATTCATTGACTCTTTACCACCTCCAAGCTTCTCCTGAGCACAACTGATTCTTATTTTTTAATTTTGAAAACTTTCTCACTTCTAGAATTTCCACTTGAGCCTTTGTTATTATTGTAGTTTCTTCTTCTCTGCTGTGATTTCCTATTCATTTATTTTATGGGTTTTTGGGGTTTTGATTTTAGTAAGAATTACAATAACTACTTTAAAAATCCACACTAATTCCAACATCTGGGTTATCTCGAGGTCAGTCTCTATTGATTGCATTTTTCTTTGAATATGTTTCTTTATATGTTTGATATAATGGTATTGAATTCTGAATATTGTAAAACTAGATTTTGTTTTGTTCCTCTGAAAATTTTGATAATTTTATGTTGTATTTGTTGTATTTTGTTTGATTGTTTTTTTTCTATTGTATACTTCACAATATATTTTCCTTCAATGGTTTTAACATTTATATTTCTCAAAATATTTATGTTTATGTTAAAAATTATACAAAGTAACTTGGTGCAGTGGCTCCCATCTGTAATTCCAGAACTTTTAGAGGCCAAGGCAGGAGGGTCACTCGAGCCCAGGAGTTGGAAAACAGCCTAGACAACAGGACAAGACCCTGTCTCCACAAAAAATTATTAGGGTGGTGCAAAGAGTAATTGCGGGTTTTGCCATTACTTTCAATGGCAAAACCCACAATTACTCTTGCACCAACCAATAAAAAAATAAGCTAGGTATGGTGGTGGCGTGTGCCTGTGGTCTCAGCTATTTGGGAAGTGAAGGCAGAGGTGGGAGGATTGCTTGAGCCCAGGAGTTCCAGACCAGCCTGAGACCCTGTCTCTATGAGAAAAAAAAAAAAAAAAATAGCTGGGCCCACGTACCTGTGGTACTTGCAACTTGGGAGGCAAAGGCAGAGGTGCCAGAATCACTTGAGCCCAGAAGCTCAAGGCTGCAGGGCACTGTGATTGTGCCACTGCACTCCAGCCTGAGTGATGGACCATGACCCTGACTCCAAATAATAATAATACTTACAAAAAGGAAAGACCTAGAACACCAGGTTAGGGTTAAGTATTCTAAAATTCAGCTGACTTACTCTGTTCACTATAAAGCAGGTTGCCACAGAAAATATAGCATGCCCAGTTTATTTGAAATTTCAGATAAACAAATACTTTTTTCAGTGTAAGTATATCCCATGCAGTATTTGGGACATGCGTATTATAAAATATTATTCCTTGTTTATCTGAAATTGAAATTTAACTGGGTATTACATAATTATAGCAGCCTGACCATAAAAGATATGAGCTGAGCAAAATTCTACTTTAAACTTCAAGGTTTATAATAAATGCATTATTAATCAAGAACTATTATTTACTGAGACCTGTGTAGATCCCGTATTTATCTTTTTAAATGTGGAACTAGGAAAGCTACATAAAGAACATTTATAGAAATAAATGTCTGTTCTATAGCTGAAAGGAAAACTCTAGCTTTTATTTTTCTCCCCAAACTTAAGGTTTATTCTACATTTGTATAAACAATAAAATTACAGCTCAACTTTGGAAGCACAGATCATAATATAAAAATAAAGCACAGATCCCAGAAACATTTAACAGGCAACAAATCTTTCACATCATCTTACTATTCAACTAAACATATAATAACTTAGAATGATCCATTAATTATAAGTAAAGAATAAATTCTTTTACAAAGCATAACTATTAATATTATTGACCATCATAAGAGCAAATATTTTAAGTAAAACACCATGAATACTTTACAGAAAGGAGCGAGTTGCAGATACAGTCATTCTTGGATTTCTTTCAACACCAGGCTTTCTTCCCTTTTGACCTGAACTGGGAGTTGAATATTTCCTCTCTTTGCCCTCTGACCCTCTAGTCTCTGAAGCATCTTTTGTACTAGAGGTATATGCAGAGACTTCCTGGAAATTTGGATTTGTAAATTGTGCTGTTGTAACTTCTAGGCACTGCAGTGATCCAGATATAGAGCTGTTGCTCTTGCTTGTAAAAGTGTAACATTTTGATTCAAAAAAGGAAGTAAAAGGAAGAGAGTTGATTACATTTGGCTACTGACATTAATAATAATAAATAATAATTGTACTTGTAATATAAACATCTGAAAGTTTTAGTTCTAAGAATGGGTGTCCACATAAGAAAATTATGTAAAAATAATTAATGTCTATTATAATTACTTTTCTTTAACCAAAGAAAAAGTATAATTTAAAGATGGCTGTTTAAGGATCAAATTGCAGCCACTGGTAAAAGTAGATATTAGTCATATTTATTAACTGACACACAGTGATACTGAAGGCACTTATTTCTCAAGAAACATCATTTTTTCCCAACAAGAACATACTACATCCTAGACATGAATTGAAAATAAACTTTGATTTTCATCACAGGAGGGCGACAATCAGAGAACTGAGGTGGTACAGATCCATTAGAGGACCATAACCATGAGTCCATCAGTCTCTACTGTAGGACAGAGCAAGAATTTTAAAGAATCTCGGTGAAGGCTCCTTTTCAAAAAAATACAAAGATTAAAGCCTTTGAAACGTAAATTATTTTTTCCAGTTATTACATTGAGGACAAAGTTATAGTTGCAAAGTTAAGATTTTTATAACTATCCCTAAAATTGATTCTCAGTGACTCCCTTGATCTACATATGTTAAGGAAAAAGGCAAGATAAAGATGTGTTAAATATTTTCCAGTTTTTAATAATCAGCTTTAATATAAGGTATACCCAAATAATGGTTAATTAAATGACAATGAAAGAATGTTATAGCAGATGCTCACTTATCAACATGCCTTGAAATTAAAGGTTTATAAGGTGCATAAGGGCAGTTTTTGATGTTGCCATTACATTCACAAAAGTATCTGAGGCGTGTACAGCATGAAGTTCACTAAATGCTTGCAACTTAACCAGCACTAAATTTTGTTGAATAAATAAATGAATACTTTTGTATAGCATCTGTTCAAAATCTCTGATGTAAAAATGAAAATAATCTGAAAATATGCAAAACTGAAATTTCCCACATACGGCTGCCAGTTCGGACAAACAATAAGATGAATTTCAAAATGAGAACATCAATTGTTTTGAGGACCAAAATTTCACTGCTGCTTTTCTCACACCCTGTTGTTAACCTAAGCGCCCATGCTCTTACTGTCAATAACAGATTTTCATCATCAAATACAAGAAACAGGCTGGGCACGGTGGCTCACACCTGTAATCCCAGCACTTTGGGAGGCTGAGGCGGGTGGATCACTTGAGGCCAGGAGTTTGAGACAAGCCTGGCCAACATGGTGAAACCTCATCTCTACTAAAAATACAAAACTTAGCTGGGTGTGGTGGCAGGCGCCTGTAATCCCAGCCAATCAGGAGGCTGAGGCAGGAGAATCGCTTGAACCTGGGAAGTGGAGGTTGCAGTGAACTGAGATCGAGCCACTGTACTCCAGCCTGGGCGACAGAGCAAGACTCTCCCTTAAACAAATAAATACACAACACAACAGAATCACTGGGACACATTCAAAGCAGTGTGTAGAGGGAAATTTATAGCACTGAATACCCACAAGAGAAAGCAAGAAAGATCCAAAACTGACACCTTAACATCACAATTAAAAGAACTAGAAAAGCAAGAGCAAACACATTCAAAAGCTAGCAGAAGGCAAGAAATAACTAAAATCAGGGAAGAACTGAAGGAAATAGAGACATGAAAAACCCTTCAAAAAATTAAGTAATCCAGGAGCTGGTATTTTGAAAAGATCAACAAAATCGATAGACCACTAGCAAGACTAATAAAGAAGAAAAGAGAGAAGAATCAAATAAGCGCAATAAAAAATGATAAAGGGGATATCATGACCAATCCCACAGAAATACAAACTACCATCAGAGAATACTAAAAACACCTGTATGCAAATAAACTAGAAAATCTAGAAGAAATGGATAAATTCCTTGACACATACATCCTCCCAAGACTAAACCAGAAAGAAGTTGAATCTCTGAACAGACCAATAAAAGGCTCTGAAATTGTGGCAATAATCAATAGCTTACCATCCAAAAAAAGTCCAGGACCAGATGGACTCACAGCTGAATTCTACCAGAGGTACAAGGAGGAGATGGTACCATTCCTTCTGAAACTATTCCAATCAATAGAAAAAGAGGGAATCCTCCCTAACTCATTTTATGAGGCCAGCATCATCGTGATACCAAAGCCTGGCAGAGATACAACCAAAACAGAGAATTTTAGACCAATATCCTTTATGAACATTGATGCAAAAATCCTCAATAAAATACTGGCAAACCGAATCCAGCAGCACATCAAAAAGCTTATCCACCATGATCAAGTGGGCTTCATCTCTTAGATGCAAGGCTGGTTCAACATATGCAAATCAATAAATGTAATCCAGCATATAAACAGAACCAAAGACAAAAACCACATGATTATCTCAATAGATGCAGAAAAGGCCTTTGGCAAAATTCAACAAAACTTCATGCTAAAAACTCTCAATAAATTAGGTATTGATGAGACATATCTCATAATAATAAGAGCTATCTATGACAAATCCACAGCCAATATCATACTAAATGGACAAAAACTGGAAGCATTCCCTTTGAAAACTGACACAAGACTGGGATGCCCTCTCTCACAACTCCTATTCAACATAGTGTTGGAAGTTCTGGCCAGGGCAATTAGGCAGGAGAAGGAAATAAATGGTATTCAATTAGGAAAAGAGGAAGTCAAATTGTCCCTGTTTGCAGACGACATGATTGTATATCTAGAAAACCCCATTGTCTCAGCCCAAAATCTCCTTAAGCTGAAAAGCAACTTCAGCAAAGTCTCAGGATACAAAATCAATGTACAAAAATCACAAGCATTCTTATACACCAATAACAGAAAAACAGCCAAATCATGAGGGAACTCCCATTCAAAATTACTTCAAAGAATAAAATACCTAGGAATCCAACTTTCAAGGGAGGCGAAGGACCTCTTCAAGGAGAACTACAAACCATTGCTCAATGAAATAAAAGAGGATGCAAACAAACGGAAGAACATTCCATGTTCATGGGTAGGCAGAATCAATATCGTGAAAATGGCCATACTGCCCAAGGTAATTTATAGATTCAATGCCATCCCCATCAAGATACCAATGACTTTCTTCACAGAAATGGAAAAAACTACTTTAAAGTTCATATGGAACCAAAAAAGAGGCCGCATTGCCAAGTCAATCCTAAGCCAAAAGAACAAAGCTGGAGGCATCACGCTACCTGACTTCAAACTATGCTATAAGGCTACAGTAACAAAACCAGCATGGTACTGGTACCCAAACAGAGATATAGATCAATGGAACAGAACAGAGCCCTCAGAAAAAATGCTACATATCTACAACCATCTGATCTTTGACAAACCTGAGAAAAACAAGCAATGGGGAAAGGATTCCCTATTTAATAAATGGTGCTAGGAAAACTGGCTAGCCATATGTAGAAAGCTGAAACTGGATCCCTTCCTTACACCTTATACAAAAATTAATTCAAGATGGATTAAAGACTTACATGTTAGACCTAAAACCATAAAAACCCTAGAAGAAAACCTAGGCATTACCATTCAGGACATAGGCATGGGCAAGGACTTCATGTCTAAAACACCAAAAGCAATGGCAACAAAAGACAAAATTGACAAATGGGATCTAATGAAACTAAAGAGCTTCTGCACAGCAAAAGAAACTACCATCAGAGTGAACAGGCAACCTGCAGAATGGGAGAAAATTTTCACAACCTGCTCATCTGACAAAGGACTAATATCCAGAATCTACAATGAACTCAAACAAATTTACAAGAAAAAAACAAACAACCCCATCAA
Organism: Homo sapiens; assembly: GCF_000001405.40. Taxonomy (NCBI): domain Eukaryota; kingdom Metazoa; phylum Chordata; class Mammalia; order Primates; family Hominidae; genus Homo; species Homo sapiens. The sequence continues at coordinate 12,437 of NT_187375.1, read as the reverse complement.
AAAGTGGGCAAAGCATATGAACAGACACTTCTCAAAAGAAGACATTTATGCAGCCAAAAAACACATGAAAAAATGCTCATCATCACTGGCCGTCAGAGAAATGCAAATCAAAACCACAATGAGATATCGTCTCACACTGGTTAAAATGGCGATCATTAAAAAGTCAGGAAACAACAGGTGCTGGAGAGGATGTGGAGAAACAGGAAAACTTTTACACTGTTGGTGGGACTGTAAACGTGTTCAACCATTGTGGAAGTCAGTGTGGCAATTCGTCAGGGATTTAGAACTAGAAATACCATTTGACCCAGCCATTCCATTACTGGGTATATACCCAAAGGACTATAAATCATGCTGCTATAAAGACACATACACACGTATATTTATTGCGGCAGTATTCGCAATAGCAAAGACTTGGAACCAACCCAAATGTCCAACAATGATAGACTGGATTAAGAAAATGTGGCACATATACACCATGGTATTCTATGCAGGAGAAAAAAATGAAGAGTTCATGTCCTTTGTAGGGACGTGGATGAAACTGGAAACCATCATTCTCAGCAAACTATCACAAGGACAAAAAACCAAATACCGCATGTTCTCACTCATAGGTGGGAATTGAACAATGAGAACACATGGACACAGAAAGGGGAACATCACTCACTGGGGACTGTTTTATGGTGGGGGGAGTGAGGAGGGATTGCTTTAGGCGATATACCTAATGCTAAGTGACGAGTTAATGGGTGCAGGACACCAACATGACACATGTATACATATGTAACAAACCTGCACATTGTGCACATGTAACCTAAACCTTAAAGTATAATTTAAAAAAAAAGTCAAGAAACAACAGTTGCTGGAAAAGCGGTGGAGAAATAAACACTTTTACACTGTTGATAGGAATGTTAATCATTGTGGAAGACAGTTTGGCAATTCTGCAAGGATCTAGAACCAGAAATACCATTTGACCCAGAAATCCCATTACTGGGTATATATCCAAAGGACTATAAATCATTCTATTATAAAGATGCATGCACGCATATGTTTATAGCAGCACTATTCTCATTAGCAAAAACATGGAATCAATCCAAATGCCCATCAGTGATAGACTGGATAAAGAAAATGTGGTACATACACGCCATGGAGTACTATGCAGCCATAAAAAGGAATGAGATCATGTCTTTTGCAGGGACATGAATGAATCTGGAAACCATCATCTTTAGCAAACTAATACAGGAACAGAAGACCAAACACCACATGTTCTCACTCATAAGTGGGAGCTGAATAATGAGAACACCTGGACACAGGGAGGGGAACAACACACACTGGGGCCTGTCATTGGGGATGGGGAGGAAGAGCATCAGGAAGAGCTAACGCATGTGGGGCTTAATACCTAGGCACCTAGGCTGTGGGTTGATAGGTACAGCAAATCATCATAGTGCACGTTTACCTACGTAACAAACCTGCATGTTCTGCACATTTATCCTGGAATTTAAAATAAAATTTTAAAAAATAAAATAAAATGAAAACAAGAGTACTGAAAATTGGCTCACAGTTCCACAGCCTGTACAGCAAGCATGATGCTGACATCTGCTCAGCTTCTGGGGAGGCCTCAGGACACTTAACAATCATGGTGGAAGGGAAAGCAAGAGCAGAAGGAAGAGAGAGAGGGGGAAGGTCCTACACACTTTAAACAACAAGATCTCATGAGAACTCTATCACAAGAGCAGCGCTAGGGGGATTATGGTTAACCATTAGAAACTGCTCCCATGGACCAGCCACCTCGCAGCAGGCCCCATCTCCGACAGTGGGAACCACCGGAGGCTGCTCCTGTGGACCAGCCACCTTCCGGCAGGCCCCGTCTCCAACACTGGGAACCACTGGAAACTGCTCCCATGGACCAGCCACCTCCCAGCAGGCCCCATCTCCGACACTGGAGATTACATTTCTATAGAAGTTTCCAATAATTTTGGAACACATATTAATAACATATTTATAAAAATACAGTCCAAAGTAGCCCAAACATCATTCACTCTTCTATTTGAAAGTTTTCCCTCTATTCTAATGTCACAATCTCCAGGGTTATTAATCAGAATCCTGCATTTAAGGGCATCTGTTAAATTTTATAGCTGATTATAAAACCATCATTTAAAGAGGACCAAAATGAGACAATTGTCTATGGATGACAAAAACATTAAGGGCAGCCACAGTTAAAGACATCAACAACAGCCTTTAAAGTAGAATTTGCTGTAGAGCCTATTATGAGGGAGATATTTCTAGCTATTACCTCTTTTATTCTAAACCATGGAAAAAGGACCTATCAAATAAAGTCCTTCTAGAAGAGTGAAGGGCTCCTGGCAATATACTCTTTAATCCATGATGTGGGATAAGGGGAGTTTTTACTGATTATGAGGCAATGTATATACCACTAAAGTTTCAACACCCCAAAAGGAAAAAAAAGGGGGGGAGGGAAGTCCTGGAAGAACCAGATGGAGCCGTAGCAGAAGATGATTTCAATCCACTGTCCCCTGAATTGTGGGCTGGTTGTGCTGCATCGCTCTGTGACTTATGATTCTGCCACAACAAAGATCTAATTCCCAGGGTTATAGGAAAAGACACCTGTGGTACCCCTGAGGCAGAGAGAAGGGAGAAATCCAAACCTGACTTAAGTCTAGGGTTCTTAAACCACACAATCTGCTCACAAGGAGGACCTTAACTCTGAAGATACTGATTTGGGGCTGTTTCAAAGAAAGAAATTATAAATATGAGTGGGAAAGAGAACAACCTTCGCCATATCCAGTGGCAAAAAAATGAGAGAGAGGGAAGAAAGGAAGGAGGGAAGGAAGGAGAGGGAAGAAAGGAGGGAAGGAAGGAAGTAGGGAGGGAGGGAGGGATGGAAGGAAGGAAGGAGAGAGGGAAGGAAGGAATGAAGGAAGGAGAGAGAGAAGGAGGGCAGGAAGGAAGGAAGGAAGGAAAGAAGGAAGGAGAGAGGGAAGGAAGGGGGGAGGGAGGGAAGGAAGGAAAGAGGGAAGTGAGGGAAGGAAGAAAAGGAAAGAGGGAAGGAAGGAAAGAGGGAAGGAAGGAAGGAAAGATGGAAGGAAGGAGGGAAGGAAGGAAGGGAAGGAACTTGGATATGCACAAAAACAAAATTTAAATTAAAACGGAATTCTATCATCTGACCTAATTGGAAATGTACTATTTTCTAAAATAACTTATACAGTCCAAAGGTAAAAGGGTGCTGATTGGTATTTGTAACTCTCCAGCATATATTCGAATCAATTTTAACATCTGCTGAAATCTACCAATTGGCATACCTTCAAAAACTTAATCAATACTGGAGCTCAAACTTTGTTATACCTGAGATTTCACTAAATTTAAACATTGCGTCCCCTAATCCTAGCAGAGTAACTGCATATAGAATAGAGGACACATAGTTATGCCTCACATTTGTTACCTTGACTAAATTTCCCATAGTCATAGAAGCCTTTGTCCATAGGGGACCTGGATGCTCTGACCCAATGAGTAACAGATTGATATTAAATCATTTGAACTTACACATTGACTTCACCAAATGTAACCTTACAGAACTCCCTCTCCTGTTTTTTTTTTAATTTGATTTATTTTTAATTTTTCATTTTTTTTAGAGATGGGGTCTTGCTCCATTACCCAGGCTGAATGAAGTGCGGTGGCACATTCATAGCTCACTGCTGCCTTGAACTACTGGGCTCAAGCAATCCTCCTATTTTAGCCTTCCAAGTAGCTGGGATTACAGGCATGTACCAGCACAGCCAATTAAAAAAAATATAGAAGTGGAGTCTTGCTATGTTGCCTAGGCTGGTCTCTAACTTCTGGGCTCAAGCAATCTTCCTGCCTCGGCCTCCCAAAGTGCTGGGATTACAGGTGTGAGCCATCGTGCCTAGCCTCCCCATCTTGATAAATTATCAAATATGATCCAACATAAATTACAACATGACTTCAAATAAATAAAACTTATTATATAAGACCTAATTAATTAGTGAAGGGGTGATAATCCTCATTGCTTCAATGTTTAGCAGTAGAATTTGGCCTGTTCTTAAACCTGCAAATAATAAATGGTGTTTCACAGTGGATTACTGTAATGTGACTGCAGTGTTCCCTTCCATTCAGGCCCTCGTACCCAATGCCTAATATTGTGGTTAATTTTTTTTTATTTCAATAGGTTTTTGGGGAATATGATGGTATTCTTTTTATTTCAATAGGTTTTGGGGAAACAGGTGGTTTTTGGTTACAGGAATAAGTTGTTTAGTGGCGTTTTCTGAGATTTGTGGTGCACCCATCACCCAAGCAGTGTACACTGTACCCATTGTGTAGTGTTTTATCCCTCACTGCACCCACCCCACCACTCCCAGCCTTTCCCTGAGTCCCCAAAGACCATTGTATCATTCTTATGCCTTTGCATCCTCATAGCTTAGGTCTCACTTATGAATGAGAACATACAATGTTTGGTTTTCCATTCCTAAGTTGCTTCACTTAGAATAATGGTGTCCAGTTTCATCCAGGTTGCTGTGAATGCATTATTTCATTCCATCTTACGGCTGAGTAGTATTCCATGTGGTAAATATTTATACCACATTTTCTTTATCCACTTACTGATTGATGGGCATTTAGGCTGGTTTCAAATTCTTCTAACTGCATATTGTGCTGCTATAAACATGCGTGTGAAAGTATCTTTTTCATATAATGACTTATTTTCCTCTGAGTAGATATCCAGGAGTGGAATTACTGGATCAAATGTTAGATCTGCTTTTACTTCTTTGGAAATCTCCTCACTGTTTTCCATAGCTGTTGTACTAGTTCACATTCCCTCCAAAAAGTGTAAAAGTGTTCCCTTTTTAACACATCCATGCCAACATCTATTAGTTTTTGATTTTTTGATTATTTCCATTCTTACAGGAGTGAAGGGGTATCATATTGTATTGTGGTTTTGATTTGCATTTCCCTGATAATTAGTTATGCTGAGCATTTTTTTCATGTTTGTTGGCTAGTTGCTTATCTTCTTTTGAGAATTGTCTGTTCATGTCCATAGCCCACTTTTTGATGGGATGTTTTTCTTCCTGGTTTGTTTGAGTTCCTTGCAGATTCTGGGTGTTAGTCCTTTAATCAGAAGTACAGATTGAGAAGATTTTCTCCCACTCTGTAGGTTATCTGTTTACTCTGCTATTTCTCTTACTGTGCAGAAGCCTTTTAGTTTAATTAAGTCTCATCTATTTATCTTTGTTTTAGTTGCATTTGCTTTTTGGGTTATTGGTCATGAAGTCTTTGCCTAAGCCAGTGTCTAGAAGGTTTTTTCCAATGTCGTCTTCTAGAATTTTTATGGTTTCAGGTATTAGATTTAAGTCCTTGAACCATCTTGAGTTGATTTTTGAATAGGGTGAAAAATGAGCATCCACTTTCATTCTTCTATGTGTGGCTTGCCATTTATCTCAGCACCATTTGTTGAATAGGGTTTTCTTTCTCTGCTTTATGTTTTTGTTTGTTTTGTTGAATATTAAATGACTGTAAGTATTTGGCTTTATTTCTGTGTTCTCTATTATGTTCCATTGATCTTTATGGCTATTTTTATACCAGTACCATGCTGTATTGGTGACTATGGCCTTCTAGTATAGTTTGAAATCGGCTTCTAGATTTGTTCTTTTTGCTTAGTCTTGCTTTGGCTATACAGACTCTTTTTTGGTTCTAGGCTTTTACTATCTTAAGGTATTTCCCTTCTATGTCTTTTTTAGTTCCGTGTGAATTTTTGTAGTTCTGTGAAGACTGATGTTGGTACTTTAATGGGGATTGCATTGAGTTTGTAGATTGCTTTTGGCAGTATGGTATTTTCACAATATTGATTTTACCCATCCGTGAGCATGGGATATGTTTCCATTTCTTTGCATCTATGATTTCTATCAGCAGTGTTTTGTAGTTTTCCTTGTAGAGGTCTTTTGTCTCTTTGGTTAAGTATTCCGGATATAATTAAGATTTTGTCTGCAAAGATTGCATGCAATTGACAATTATAGGAATATACTATTTTAATTATAGGAATTATAATATTCCTAAGGTTTTTATTGCAACTATTGTAAAAGGGGGTGAGTTTTTTATTTAATTCTCAGCTTGTTCACTATTACTGTATAGCAGAGCCACTGACTTTTGTACATTAGTTTTGTATCCTGAAACTTTGCTGAATTCATTTACCAGTTCTAGTAGCTTTTGGGATGAGTCTTTAGGGTTTTCTAGGTATACGATCATGTCATCAGCAAAGAGTGACAGTTCGACTTCCTCTTTACCGATTTGGATGCCCTTTATTTCTCTTATCTGATTGCTCTGGCGAGGACTTCTAGTACTATGTTGAATAGAAGTGGTGAAAGTTGACATCATTGTCTTATTCCAGTTCTCAGGGGGAATGCTTTCAACTTTTCCCCATTCCATATAATGTTGGCTGTGTGTTTGTCATATATGGCTTTTATTACCTTAAGGTATGTCCCTACGATGTTGATTTTGCTAAGGGTTTTAATCATAAAGGGATTCTGGATTTTGTCAAATGCTTTTTCTATGTCAATTTTGCTGAGGGTTTTAGGCATAAAGGGATGATGTATTTTGTCAAATCCTTTTTCTGCATGTATTGAGAGGATCATGTGATTTTTGTTTTTAATTCTATTTATATGGTGTATCACATTTATTGACTTGCAGATGTTTAACCATCCTGCATCCCTGGTTTCTCTTCAGATCGTATACCTCTTTCACCTTATGATGGTTAATTTTATTTGCCAAGTTGGGTTGCCTAGATATTTGGTTAAACACTGTGGATGTGTCTGTGAGGGTGTTCCTTGATGAGACGAACATTTGAATATGTAGACTTAGTAAAGTAGTTGCCATCCCCAGTGTGAGTGGACCTCATTCAATCCATTAAAACCCAAATAAAACACAAGGGTAGAGGAAGAGAGAATTCACTCTCTTTGATGATTTCAGAGCTGAGACGTAGATCTTCTCTCGCCTTTGAAGTCAGACGTGGACTGTAACTTATGCCATCAGCTTTCCTGGTTCTCAGGACTTTAGGTTTGGACTGGAACTCCAACATTGGCAGTCCTGGTTCTCCAGTTTGCTGACTGCAGGTCCTGGGACTTCTTAGCCTCCATAACCACATGAGCCAATTCCTTATAATAAACCTATATATATTCATGCAACTGATAAATATTTTGTTGTTACAGATTTGGCTACCATGTTCTTCTGGTGCCTATTTTAACAGAGTCTCAGTCATAGCCTGCCTTCATCTCTGAAGGGACCAGGCGACCCACGGAGTGCCTCGGCAGCCTTGTCATTGCATGCAATCTTCACAGACAACATCTCACTGCAACCACCTTTCTACAGGAGCACAGGTGTGACATTATACTGATGACATTCTCAGAGAAAATTCATTTTACACACTAAGGACACACAGATACAAGGAGACTTACACAAAGGGAATGGACTTTTCCCAACACAGTAGTGCAAGGCCCTGCCACTTTGCTTCAATTCCTGAAATTTCCTTGGTAAATATGGGGCTGCCCTACTCCTGAGACTTTCAAAAAATAGTTATTCATCCTCTCAGCATCCACAATGTTAATACAAGCCTAATATTCTTTAATTTGTGTTTTGTTTTTTGGAGGCACAGTCTTGCTCTGTCACCCAGGCTGGCATGAAGTGGCATGGTTTCCACTCACTGCAGCCTCGACCTCCTGAGCTCAAGCAGTTCTCCCATCTCAGCCTTCCAAGTAGCTAGGACTTCAGTTGTGTGCCATGACACTCAGCTAATTTTGTTTATATTTTTGTAGAGAAAAGGTCTCGCTATGTTACCCAGGCTGGTCTCAAACTCCTGTGGTGAAGCGATCCTCTTGCCTCTGCCTCCCAAAGTTCTGGGATTACAGGTGTGAGCCACTGTGCCCAGCCTTTTAATTCTTTACTTGGGGTTCAGGTGACAATATATTTCTTATTTACAAATCTTACTTAATCTCACTGATGCTGTCATTGGCAAACTGACCCACCTTGAATGAAGCCTCCTCCAAGTCTGGAATCTGTCCGAATTTAAATTAGCAGGTGCTGCTATGAATTCCCTCAGAGAACACACTGTGGATGCTTTAGCAACCTCTTCCTATGCCTCCTGAAGTATCTGGGTTGCATATGGTGGCCATAAGTAGTCCATGGGCTTCTCATGTAAAAAACAAACCTGCCCCTTTTGACCCTGTTCTGTACAGCATCAGTGCAGCGATTGCTGACCACATGCTGGACTCTCTGGAAACAGAGGGCTCTGCATCCATGTCCTTGAGGCTTCATGCCCATCTGGCCATCAGGCCTTGGGAAGCAGCACCCCACAGCCTTGGCACAGCTGCAGAGACCTCCTTGAATCAGGATGGAGTCAAACCTGGACCCCCTGCCATTCTCATCTGCAGGAAACACTGGCCTCCTTCATCCTCAGTCTGTGTTGCTGGAAGTCACCCATCTCCAAGGCCCCTTGGGATCGACTGAGTGACCAGCAGTGAAGTTCGTCCACCTTCTAAATGGATGCCATCATCTGACGTGATGGAGCTCAGTGGGATGCTGCTGCCTTACCTCGCTTAGCTAGGATGTCCCTGATAAAGGATGACACCAAAGCTTCAGCACAACTGGCCAAACTTGAGGTGGTCATCTCAGCACTGATGCTGGGCCAACAATTAGCCCCATTTGTACATTTTTACAAATTTTTGGCAATTGCCAAGAATTGTCCACCTTCCCTCCCCATTGAATTAAAGACACTTCTTGCCTCATGGATAGTCAGAATACAGTCAAGGTAACAGATGCCTTTTTTTTAACCAAGGACACAGTACAGATCTCACAGGGACACTCCTTATCCCCTACAGAGAGTTCCAGACACTACTGATGGTGACCAAGGCAACATTTCAACAGAAAACACAGTGCTAGGCTTGTGAAAGTGTCCAGTAGGGCTTCCACTGCCCCTATAGGCTGCAGGCAGCTGCTTTAGTTGAGAGATAGACTGAGCTCCTCGAAGAATTCCTATTTAAGTTACAAAGCAGCGAGTGGATGCCCTGCTGGGTTCCACTGTTGCCACAGGCTTTGATTACTCTTAAGTTCATGCTTCTTAGGAAATTGCACTTTTTACACCAGTGCTACACAGTTCCCTCAGTTGCCTTTACTGGACATCAAGGAGTTCACATTTTTGACAACCATTCAGTCCTGGACAGTCCAAGGGGTGGAGGTAGCTTCGTACAGGAATCTGCCTGCTGCGTGTGGATCAGTAATATCAGAATTGCCCAACAACTCACTGGAGATATGAAAACCAATGCATGGGGGATGCATGACGTCACCCAAATATTTATGAACACGCTTGTGCTGCCAGAGACCCCAGATCTCTAAACCAATGCATGGGAAATGCATGACGTCACCCAAATATTTACGAACAGGCTTGTGCTGCCAGAGACCCCAGATCACTTTTCCTGCCTCCTGCTAAATAAATGGGGGCAGTAGATTTGCATCGGTTTCCACATTACATTACTCATAACTGTGGCCTTCCTAATTTCTCATGTCCCTAAGCACTTATTACAATGTCTCAGCAGCTTTCTCTCAGCCTCTCAAAATATTAGTCATCATGAAAATAAATGTCTGATGTTAAAGCATCAGGGGTTAATTGTATTGTGACACCTAAAATTTCATGCAGCACCCCACCATGTTCTCAGCCTAATGGCTTTCATGCCCCCACCAGACTGCAAAACTCTGAATTCAAGCACATCCATGAAGGGACCAGGGGTTACCCCACCCTCTGATTTCTACCAAGCCTGCCTCCCACACCCTCTGTTCCAGAGTGCAAGCCTGGGTAGACCTGCATAAATGCAGCGTCATCCCCCTGGCTGAGTATGTGTGACGAGTAAATTACTGGGAATTTCGTCTGCTCAGTGTTTGTTTTGTCTGCAGCCATTCCCAGAATTCTAGGACAAGACTAGCTTCTTTGCCAATGGGGTGAACACGAAGGAACCCAAGTAGGAATTGCCTTTTTAAAAAAATCCCCTCCCACTCTCTTAATTATGTAATGCATACATTTTTATAGCTTTTTTGCTCATTCCATTACCTGAGGTCAGCCACTGATATTTAACCCATCCTTAGCCTCGGAGGAGGACAGAGGAGCACTCGTCATATTGATTTCCCTAGCGGTGACATGATTTCCTCCTGTGCCACTCAAATTCTCTCCTTCTTTAACTTGATGCTCAGTAGGTTGTGTTTCACTCGTCTTTGCAGATTGTTAGGAAGATGAGAATCAGCTTTCATATTTGATGTTGCCATAGAGAAGACTCCATGGTAATGTTTATTTGCACAATCAACTTTTTCTTTTCCCCCAGAAATTGCAAATTCTTATGTGAGAGACAGCTTTCTGGAGTCTGCAAACATAGAGTATCATCTCCCTTTTGATGGTAAATTTATTATATCCCCACCATCAATAAAATACTTACATATAATTTTGGCATGTCATATTGATTGCCAACTACACGTAAGAACATTCCTTGATTTTAAATCTAGACTAATTATGAAAATTTGGGTAGTCACAAAAAATTATTGTGCACAAACTTATAGACCTTAGGATTAAATGAGTTACTATTAACTAATATTTATTGTGCAGTCAGTGTATGGCAGAAGCTTACTATGTACTATTTCATTTTATACTTAAAACAGTATTCTATGCAAAATGCTATAATTTCACCTTGTCTACAATTTGGACATGATAAAACTGGGTCTCGTAAAGTTTTCACCCCAGAGTTCTCTGATTAGTAAGAAGTAGAAATAAGTTTAAACCTAAGTTATCTGATTTCAGAGCCCATATAGTTAAATGCTCTAAATGCAGCTTCCCCTGGTGATGGTGACTATGAGAGCCTGTCACATATGATGTAGGACAGTGCTTCCCTGTAACATGCACAAGATTCCCGTGATGATGGTGCCTATGACAGCCTGTCAGATACTATGTAGGACAGTGCTTCCCTTTAATATGCACAGGATTCCCGTGATGATGGTGACTATGACAGCCTGTCACATATGATGTAGGACAGTGCTTCCCTGTAACATGCAGAGGAGTCCCGTGATGACGGTAACTATGAGAGCCTGTCACATATGATGTAGGACAGTGCTTCCCTGTAACGTGTGCAAGATTCCCGTGATGATGGTAACTATGAGAGCCTTTCACATATGATGTAGGACAGTGCTTCCCTGTAACGTGGGCAAGATTCCCGTGATGATGGTGACTATGAGAGCCTGTCAGATACTGTGTAGAACAGTGCTTCCCTGTAACATGCACAAGATTCTTGTGATGATGGTGCCTATTTGAGCCTGTCACATATGATGTAGGACAGTGCTTCCCTGTAACTTGCCCAAGATTCCCGTGATGATGGTGACTATGAGAGCCTGTCAGATACGATGTAGGACAGTGCTTCCCTGTAACATGCAGAGGATTCCTGTGATGATGATGACTTTGAGAACCTGTCAGATACTATGTAGGACAGTGCTTCCCTTTAATATGCACAAGATTCCCGATGATGGTGACTATGAGAGCCTGTCACATATGATGTAGGACCGTGCTTCCTTGTAACATGCACAAGATTCCCATGTTGATGGTGACTATGAGAGCCTGCCACATATGATGTAGGACAATGCTTCCCTGTAACATACACAGGATTCCCGTGATGATGGTAACTATGAGAGCCTGTCACATATGATGTAGGACAATGCTTCCCTGTAACGTGCCCAAGATCCCGTGATGATGATGACTATGAGAGCCTGTCACATATGATATAGGACACTGCTTCCTCTGTAAAACACACAAGATTCCCGTGAGAATTGTGACTATGAGAGCCTGTCTGATACGATGTAGGACAGTGCTTCCGTGTAACATGCACAAGATTCCCTTGATGATGGTGACTATGAGAGCCTGTCACATATGGTGTAGGACAGTGCTTCCCTGTAACATGCCCAAGATTCCCGTGATGATGGTGACTATGACAGCCTGTCACATATGATGTAGGACAGTGCTTCCCTGTAATGTGTGCAAGATTCCCTTGATGATGGTGACTATGAGAGCCTGTCAGATATGATGTAGGACAGTGCTTCCCTGTAACATGCACAAGATTCACCCTGGAATCTTATTAAAATGCAAACTCATAGACCACAATTTGACTAGCTAAGACAAGAGCATTTAAATGGATGTCCAGGTTACGGTGCTAAGATCCTACTGTTCATGTGGGCACTGGCTCACCATATTAATGAAGCTTAGGACCTCCAGTCCCTGCTGGAAAAGAAATACAGATACATAGGATATGACTCTGCATATGGAATGTCTGTTGTGTTCTTGACATTGTACTAGACACTAGAGATAAAAAGTCAAATATCCCTTGCCTCTATCTGAAAGGAGC
>NT_187373.1:0-38054 GCF_000001405.40 Homo sapiens | reverse complement strand
ACACTGCACCCACACCATGTATACATGCACACACCCCACACACTGTACACACACCATGTGCACACATGCACACCTCTGACACCACACACACTGTGTACACACCATGTGCAAACATACCCCCCACAGACATCACACACACCACACAGTATGTGCACACGTGCACACACCCCCACACCACACACATGAATCTACTACACATACACCACACACATACAGCACCACACACATCACACACCCCATACATACTCCCCACACACCACACACCCCACACCTACTCCCCACACACTGTACACGTACATACAGTGCCACACACATAGAGCAAACACATACCTCACGTACATACACCACACCACACACACATTCTACAAACACATCAAGCACACATCAAACACTACACACACCGCACACACACAGCACCATACACACACATCACATACACCACACACATATCACATGCACACACCACACATAGTACACATACACACCACACACACATACACCACAAACACAGCACTTATACACACCATGCACCACCCACATACCACACACAGTATACACACATAACACTCACAATACACTCCACACACACATATACATACCCCATGTACCTACTACACACACAGACCACACACACATATCATGCATACACCTGCACACACCTCACAGAATACATACAATCCTCATTTTTAGAAATTAATTTGGCTTTTAAGGAGCCTGGATAGTAAAGTATTTTATTGGCGTTTGAGTGAGCCAAGAAAATGCGTATAAATACACATGCATAACTTTGAGGGCCCAAGCAGCACTTTTGAAATCACATTAGATTAAACCGTGTAAATTTTTTATTGTTTTTAAAAAGTCAACTCTTTCTCATTTTACTAGAAACTATTTACCAGAGTAAACTAATGAGATTCTTCCTGAGGTCAAAAGACTTTCTGGAAAAACTTCTCCTTGATGAAATTGCACTTAAAACATCACTTCCATCGTGAAGTATTTCTTTAAGATGTTCTTGGTCCTTTTCCTGTTATGTGGAATCATCAATTCAAATTTTAAAAGTGACTTTGAGATGTTTTTCATCTATTATTTAAAAAATGTTGAAGGGCTTTTTAATTCTGCCTTCAGCAGAGATCGACACACTCTGATTACGATGTAAAACTGAATACGTTACTCTGACAGGCTTTCTCCTCTGCAGCGCCGCTACCATCATTAATAATGATTGAATGCTTTTACTCCATGCACAATCTATATTCCCTGCTTTATAAAGAATAGAAATCTAATTCTCACTATGAAGGCAGATAAAAGTAATCCCTTCAATCTACAGATGACTGAATCATTTACCAAAGCACTCAGACTTTAAATAGAATTTATCAAATGTGTCTATATTTCTACGCATATAATTCATATAAAGAACTTGTAGTTTAAATCATTGCACATTTTATGCTTTTAATCAGTTGTGATGGTCATTAGTATTTTTATCACATTTCCCCAAAGATAGGCTAATCACTGTTATTATTTTCAGCTAGAAATATAAAAAGTATTTTCTATTTTTGATGACTTTGAAACATAACCCTTGGAATATAATATCTGTGTATAATATCTGTGGAAAGCATGAAAGTAATATTCAAACAGTATGCATTTTTTCCAGAATGAAAATTTCCTCTACAATAACATTCATCCTTTTTTCCTGATGGACACATAACAGTCAACATTTCTAACATTGCTGGATGTTATTTACATTAAACTTCCTCAGCTTCAGGTGTTGCAGAAACTGGGCAAGAGGCCACAAGGTACCCAATACACACACACACAAAAAAACTTGTATTATTATACTTACCTAAGTGTCTGAAGAGGTGGATAAATATATTAGATTGCTCCAGAACAAGGATTTTTATGGGGCCTATTGGAAAATATGACTGCAGTTTGAGTGAGATGCCTGTAAGAGATTCAATTTGGCCACTATTTATTGAGTATCCAATTTTAAAAGTACTGACAGAAGGCTCATGAGATAGAAATTTTCACCTAAGTCTATTGGAAATGTGCTACTGGATGCTGTAGTAAAGAGTGGTGTGGTAATTGTAAAACACTTCTGATATCTAAACCTTTGTTTGTTTTTTACCTGAAATCTTTATGGGGGTGATTGTGTATGTCAATTTGAATCTTCCCATCAACAAGATAAATAAATAAATAGCCAGCCTACCTCAATAAATTAGTTCACCTTTTCGGCAGTGCTTCTCCTCCTTTGACAGCCACAAGATTCGCCCGGGGATCTCCTTAAAATGCAAAACCATAGACCACACTTTGACTAGCTTGGATAAGGGGCCAGAGCATTGAAATGAGTGTGTAGGTGACTGTGCTAAGATTCTCCTGCTCATTTGGGAACTGGCTCACCATATAAATAAAGCTTAGGACCTCTAGTCCTTGCTGGAAAAGAAATACACATACATAGGATGTGACTGTGCATATGGAATATCTGTTGTGTTCTGGACATTGTGCTAGACAACAGAGATAAGGAGTCAAATAATCCCTTGTCTGTATCTGAAAAGAGCTTCTGACACAGTGGCTTCTGAGGTCTTTGAAACAAGATTCACTTTCAGATTTGATTATTTTATTTACGATTTGATATTTTCATTGAACCCCATGATATGATAAAGTTTTCCAGAACCTGCTAGAACAATTGACTTTGCTTTCAGCATTATGAAGCCACTGGGGCATATAAGTAGTTCATTTATGTTTGTATTTAACCAGACAGGAACAAGTTGAGCTACTTTTCTGGCCACCTTCGTTTAGACCTGTTTTTTTTAGTTATTTTTGTTTGTTTGTTTTTGAAACGGGTCTCACTCTGTCACCTAGGCTGGAATGCAGTGGCGTGATCAGAGCTCACTGCAGCCTCTACCTTCTAGGCTCAAGCAATCCTCTCACCTCAGCCTCCTGAAAAGCTGCGACCACAGGCTCATACCACCATACCCAGCTAATTAAAAATATATTTTTTTGTACAGACAGGGTTTTTCCATGTTTCCTAGACTTGTCTCCAACTCCTGAGCTCAAGCAATCTGCCTGCCTCAGCCTCCTAAAGTGTAGAGCTGTGTTTTTAGTCTTTTTTGAGCTGTTTTACAATGCAGTTTTGAATTGATAAGTTTGGATTCATTCTGATATTTACAGATTTAACATCCTACTTCACAAGATGCTCATAGCCTTGATCCATTACAGTAGCCACCTTGTCCATCTCTGCTCATAGCCTAAACTAACAGAAGCCAGAGGGAAGAAATGGAAGCCAACATGAGTCCAGAACACACATTTTATAAGAGCATAAGAAATTTAAAAATAGCAAAGTATATCATGAAGTTTTTAATAGATATGCGTGGCTAAAATTTATTCTCAATCAATATATTCTATAAACTGGGAGAAAATATTAAACACATGAAAAGTAAGGAACTTGGCCTGGGCACGGTGACTCACGCCTGTAATCCCAGCACTTTGGGAGGCTGAGGTGGGCGGATCACAAAGTCAGGAGATCAAGACCATCCTGACTAACACGGTGAAACCCCGTCTCTACTAAAAATACAAAAAATTAGCCAGGCATTGTGGCGGGTGCCTGTAGTCCCAGCTACTTGGGAGGCTGAGGCAGGAGAATGCTGTCAACCTGGGAGGCGGAGCTTGCAGTGAACCAAGATCGCGCCACTGCACTCCAGCCTGGGCAACAGAGCAAGACTCCGTCTCAAAAAAAAAAAAAAGAAAGAAAAGTAAGGAACTTTTATCATTATTATATAACTAATATGGGTAAGCTATTGATTATTGCCACAATTTCAGATCCTGTTATTGGTCTATTCAGAGATTCAACTTCTTCCTGGTTTAGTCTTGGGAGAGTGTACGTGTCGACGAATTTATCCATTTCTTCTAGATTTTCTAGTTTATTTGCGTAGAGGTGTTTGTAGTATTCTCTGATGGTAGTTTGTATTTCTGTGGGATCGGTGGTGATATCCCCTTTATCATTTTTTATTGTGTCTATTTGATTCTTCTCTTTTTATTAGTCTTGCTAGCGGTCTATCAATTTTGTTGATCCTTTCAAAAAACCAGCTCCTGGATTCATTAATTTTTTGAAGGGTTTTTTGTGTCTCTATTTCCTTCAGTTCTGCTCTGATTTTAGTTATTTCTTGCCTTCTGCTAGCTTTTGAATGTGTTTGCTCTTGCTTTTCTAGTTCTTTTAATTGTGATGATAGGGTGTCAATTTTGGATCTTTCTTGCTTTCTCTTGTGGGCATTTAGTGCTATAAATTTCCCTCTACACACTGCTTTGAATGTGTCCCAGAGATTCTGGTATGTTGTGTCTTTGTTCTCGTTGGTTTCAAAGAACATCTTTATTTCTGCCTTCATTTCGTTATGTAACTAGTAGTCATTCAGGAGCAGGTTGTTCAGATTCCATGTAGTTGAGTGGTTTTGAGTGAGATTCTTAATCCTGAGTTCTAGTTTGATTGCACTGTGGTCTGAGAGATAGTTTGTTATAATTTCTGTTCTTTTACATTTGCTGAGGAGAGCTTTACTTCCAAGTATGTGGTCAATTTTGGAATAGGTGTGGTGTGGTGCTGAAAAAAATGTATATTCTGTTGATTTGGGGTGGAGAGTTCTGTAGATGTCTATTAGGTCCGCTTGGTGCAGAGCTGAGTTCAATTCCTGGGTATCCTTGTTGACTTTCTGTATCGTTGATCTGTCTAATGTTGACAGTGGGGTGTTAAAGTCTCCCATTATTAATGTGTGGGAGTCTAAGTCTCTTTGTAGGTCACTCAGGACTTGCTTTATGAATCTTGGTGCTCCTGTATTGGGTGCATATATATTTATATAACTAATATGATGAGAATGTGGTTTATGTTTTTATCTTTGCAAGATTTAGGAACATTTAGTGCAAAGAGGAAGAATTTATAATCATGGGGAGCATGTATGATACTGGAGGGACCCTTCTGACAAGGGGGAAATGGCATCACGAGACATGCTATGGTCATAGCTTTGTGGGAGCACAGCTAGCTATGATCTCCCTCATCAAACCCATTGGGCAGTGTTCAGTTACCAACATTGAGATAGAGCTCACCCACCCAGGACAGAAAAGAACATATACACTGCAGTCAGAAGCCACTGAGTAGGAAGCTCCTTTCAGATAGAGGCAAGGGATATTTGACTTTTTATCTCTAGTGTCTAGTACAATGTCCAGAACACAACAGACATTCCATATGCACAGTCACATCCTATGTATCTGTATTTCTTTTCCAGCCGGGACTTGAGGTCCTAAGCTTCGTTAATGTGGTGAGCCAGTGCCCACATGAACAGTAGCATCTTAGCACTGTCACCAAGACATCCATTTAAATGCTCCTATCTTAGCTAGTCAAAGTGTGGTCTATGAGTTTCCATTTTAATAAGATCCACGGGTGAATCTTGTGCATATTACAGAGGAAGCACTGTCCTACATCATATGTGACAGGCTCTCATACTCACCATCATCACGGGAATCTTGTACATGTTACAGGGAAGCACTGTCCTACATCATATGTGACGGGCTCTCATAGTCACCATCATCACGGGAATCTTCTGCATGTTACAGGGAAGCACTGTCCTACATCGTATGTGACAGGCTTTCATAGTCACCATCATCACGGGAATCTTGAGCATGTTACAGAGGAAGCAGTGGGGCCCTACATCATATGTGACAGGCTCTCATAGTCACCATCATCACGGGAATCTTGTGCATGTTACAGAGGAAGCACTGTCCTACATCATATGTGAAAGGCTCATAGTCACCATCATCATGGGAATCTTGCGCATGTTACAGGGAAGCACTGTCCTACATCGTATGTGACAGGCTTTCATAGTCACCGTCATCACGGGAATCTTGCACATGTTACAGGGAAGCACTGGGGTCCTACATCATATGTGACAGGCTCTCATAGTCACCATCACCATGGGAAGCTGTATTTAGAGCATTTTAACTATATGGGCTCTGAAATCAGATGACCTAGGTTTAGACTTCCTTCTACTTCTTACTAAGCAGAGAACTCTGGGGTGAAAACTTTATGAGGCCCAGTTTTATCATGTGCAAATTGGAGGTATAGGGAAATTATAGCATTTTGCATGGAATATTGTTTTAAGTATAAAATGAAATAGTACAGAGGAAGCTTCTGCCATACCTTAACTACACAATAAATATTAGTTAATATTAACTCATTTAATCCTAAGAAGAGGTCTATAAATTTGTACACAATAATTTTTTGTGGCTACTCAAATTTTCATAATTAATCTAGATTTAAAATCAAGGAATATTCTTACTTGTAGTTGGCAATCAATATGACATGCCAAAATTATATGTAAGTATTTTATTGTTGGTGAGGATATAAGAAATTTACCATCAAAAGAGAGACGATAATCTATGCTTGCAGACTCCGGAAAGCTGTCTCTCACATAAGAATTTGCAATTTCTGGGGGAAAAGAAAAAGTTGATTGTGCAAATAAACATTACCATGGAGTCTTCTCTATGGCAACATCAAAAATGGAAGCTAATTCTCATCTTCCTAACAATCTGCAAAGACGAGTGAAACACAACCTACTGAGCATCAAGTTAAAGAAGGAGAGAAATTTGAGTGGCACAGGAGGAAATCATGTCACCGCTAGCGAAATCAATATGACGAGTGCTCCTCTGCCCTCCTCCGAGGCTAAGGATGGGTTAAATATCAGTGGCTGACCTCAGGTAATGGAATAAGCAAAAAAGCTATAAAAATGCATGCATTACGTAATTAAGAGGGGGGGAAGGTATTTTTTTAAAAAGGCAATTCCTACTTGGGTTCCTTCCTGTTCACCCCGTTGGCAAAGAAGCTAGTCTTGTCCTAGAATTCTGGGAATGGCTGCAGACAAAACAAACACTGAGCAGACGAAATTCCCAGTAATTTAAACAAAACTCATGATATCCTTGTGTACAAGATGGAAGAAGAGTGGACCAGATGACAATATTTAGATGGAGTCATTCTTAACCCCCGTTGCTCTCCCAGTGGTCTAGCTGGGGTTTGTATAAAGTGGAATGGGAGGAATAGGGAAGGAGCCCCCACCTACCCTCTCCCCTTGTCCACTTGTCCTCCTTCACTAGTGGATAAAGTCCACGGGAACAGGCAAGTTATTTTAAATCTGTATCTTCTGTTGTCAAGATCTATAATCAGTTCTGCTTGCTGGACTGGGGACAGGAACCAAGGGAACATGAGGGTGAACGGGTTGACGTGGAGTCCAGGAACACACTGTGCCTACATGCAGAATGTTTGTGCCAGGAAAGCCAGTCAGCAGGCAGATGGTCTCAGATACCAAGCTAGTGTTGGGAAGCAAGATTCAGTCTCTTGAAGGCGGTGTTCCTCATTCTGTGGTTTGTATCACTTGCTTCAGAATGACCTGGAGTACTTGTTAAAATGCAAATTTTGAGCCCAATCCTAGACCTCCTAAGCCTGCATCTCTACAGATGGGTCTCAGTAGTCGATATTGGAAACGTGCAGGTCCCTAGGAGATGCTTATGCATATAGATTTGAACTGTTGTGTTTAAGGGTTAGGGAGCTGGCAAAAGCAAGGAATAGACCAAGCCCTCGGGTGGGAAGGCTCCATAACCTTGGCACTGTTAGCATTCTGGGCGGAACAGGATTCTGCCACATGCTTCGCAGCATCCCTAGCCTCTACTCTCTAAGACCGTATTCCAGTTGTGAAAACGAAAATGTCCCCTGGGAGGCAAAATAGTCACCAGTTGGGAACTGGAACCACTGCTTTGTGAGATCAGAGTGGTTACTTTGTTCCCAATCCAAGGATCAGAACACACGATGAGAGAAAGTCCAGCTATTGGAACTGGAGTGCCAAGTTGGAGCTAGACCTACAACAAAAGCTCCAAAAGCTCCTTTATAGAGCTGATCCCATGCCTCAGCTACCTAGCTTGTACAGATGCCATGTAACTCTAGATTTGGTGACAGAAGGAATTTAAAGGCTAGAACTAGATAGGGTCTTTCAGGTTAGGCCAGCACACAACGTGGACTTTTGACATCATCCAGATGCTTGAACCAACCTCAGTCCTGAGGCAGAATTTCCCGTGGCATCTGATACACAGCCTGGATTTGGAGCACTCACTGGGATTAGATGCCACGGGAATATTGTGTTTAGGAACTCTGAAAGAGACATGCTTCAACAAAGCAGACCTAAGCAACACGTAGCGTCTGAACTTCTTTATCAGCTTCCATTCCAGCCCATGAGGACAAAAGCATCACATACATATCCACTGTGGCAAACCTGTCCTCAGTAGGGAGTTTCCCCAGTATTACTCTCCCCTCTGTTCTGAGCCTACTTGCTCCTTTGTAATGTTTCCACTTTCTGTCCCACTCCCTAATAGATGATTTGTCCTCTCTGCCCAGCCCCCTAGTTCTGATATTTGGATTGTCTGTGATCTGGGTAGTACTTAGGAGGTAGAATCAAAGCCTTGTTGATTGGATTGGGAGTTTCTAACTTCCTATTAAAGGCACTGATTAAGCATCTATTGTATAAAGTAAAGTAAGATTATGATCCAGTAAGAAAGATTCCACAAGTAGCGCAGGAAGAATTGGTTTCTAGTACACTTCATGCTTCAGGACCAGAAATCCAGAAAAAAATTCTGTGGTACGTTAAGTGTTTACTGTAAGTTTCATTTCCATGTGAAAAACTGTAGTTAGCTAAAAAGTACATCCATGAAGAATCCTGATTAAACTTGTTTAATCCTGGTTAAACTAGCTACTAGCTAAACAATAAGTTCACAACAACTCAAGAACTCTGTAAAAGCATTTCCTCTGAATATTTTATTCAGAAAAAAAACACAAAAAGATAAGGCAGAAACAAAAATCCCAGTCATTTGCAGTATCTGTCAGCTTTCAATTTGGTTCTCTTGTTTAAATAAAGAAAAATAGTAAAATTAATCTATGTAAAACATGTCATATATATTCAACTGCTACTAAATATAAAAAGCTTTAAAACTGTGTGTTCAATTTTGGTTAGTGTATTACCACAACACTTATATTAAAATATGTATACTTTTAAATTTGGTTTCTATAAAAAATGGATTCTAATCTTATAAAAGTTATTTCCTAATATTCAATAAATGTTGCCTAAGGGCTTTTTCAATCCAAATAGCAATTTTAATTATTCTGGAATTTAAGGGTGCTCTAAATTTCCATTTAACAGGGTGAGAACGCTGTATTATTACAAGTGAAAAAAGTTACAGGACATAGAGCTTATTCCGTTTTAGACTCCACATCCTGATTATATTTTATATCCTCTTCTTGATTTCTTACAACTAGATACATACTCATTTGCTCAGCTGGAAAAAGTTCTTAACGTTATTTACTGACTTTAGGTATGAACTCTACCAGCTAGTTAACAGGAAATACGTAATTAAACATTGACTTTATCAAGTAATGTAAAAAAAGGGTAAGAGTAACTTTCCAACATAGGACTTGAATGAGCGGCTGGTGATTATCAAAATCTGGCACTTAATTGATTTATACTTGTACACTCACAGCTAAACGTCTCTACCTGTTTTTCTATGTTGTAAATCTAGGACATCACTTATCTACATAGGAATAGTAATAAATATTAACAATGTGCTATGATAAACATCCTGCACTCTTCCAAATCTTACAGTAAAACTGCTTCAATTTCACTTGTTTAGCTTTTATACTTAGTTTTTTAGTTGATCTATGCTTATTTTAAGGAACCTGAACTACTCTAACAGAATCCACATAATTTTTATATTAGTCAAACTGCTTCTTTCTAACTCTGGTTCTAATAGTTATAAAAAGATAATGATAAATTTATGAAGTAGATACAGTCAAACCTGAATTTCTTAAAGTATATGTTTAGAATCGGTTATAATTTTTAGATATTCTTTCTTGAAAGTCTTTTCCCAAACTCATGATGTCCTCTCTAGGTAATATTGCCACACTCATAAATTAGAAATAAAGACAAAAATGTGAAAACTACAGTAATTTAAGAGAATGTAGGTTTTCTATATGCCATTTCTATTGGCTACTGAAAATAGTGGAAATAAGTAAATAAATAGCTACCTGTCCAGAAGCGTCTCATGCAAAAATCCATCTTTCTGCGTCTTTTTAAGAATTTTACTGCTTCTTGACTTATTTTAAGTTTGTGGTCTTGGAAGCTCTGAAATTTCTTTCTGCAAAGAAAATGCCTTCATTGAAAAAACCTCAAACTCTGATTATACATATTTACTATTAAATTTATAAATACTGTTAATTTCTTTTTCACTTATTAAAAAAGTCTAATTGTAGGCCAGGTGCAGTGGCTCATGCCTGCAATCCCAGCACTTTGGGAGGCCAAGGCAGGCAGATCACTCGAGGTCAGGAGTTCGAGAACAGCCTGGCCAACATGGTGAAACCCCGTCTCTACTAAAAATACAAAAATTAGCCGAGCGTAGTGGCGTGTGCCTGTAGTCCCAGCTACTCGGGAGGCTGAGGCAGGAGAATCACATGAACCTGGGAGGTGGAGGTTGCGATGAGCCGAGATCATGGCACTGCACTCCAGTCTGGGGGACAGAGCGAGACTCCGTCTTGGGGGAGAAAAAAAAAGTCTAATTATATTTTTTTAAATAAGCTGGAGCTTTTGAACAACAAAGGTGACCTCTCAAGAGGAGGGCCACTCATTGACTGGGTAGCACAAGGCCCCATTTCTATTAGGGCATGCTGGCTGGAGTCCCCTGTGTCCTGGCCATAGCACAGCCTTTGACTGGCATCACTCCCATTGTATGAATGAATAGAGAGATTGACTAACCCGACTGACTAGTTTTGGGAGCTGGTAGGATGATTAGGAAAACTGAACCCTCAAGAAAAGAAAAGCATTTAGCTCAGTGCTCTGTCCCAGAGGCTACATTGTGTTGCCTCTTCTTGTCCATCAGTTTTCATTTTTTCAGACGGGGTCTTGCTCTGTCACCCAGGCTGGAATGCAGTGGTGATCAGAGCTCACTGCAGCCTTGAACTCCTGGGCTCAAACAATCCTCCTGTCTCAGCCTCCCGAGTAGCTGGGCCTACATGCATGCACCACCATCCCCAGCTAATTAGGTAATTTATTTTGAAAGCACTTTGAGAAGCACTTCACTGTCAAATCTGTAGGTCTAAAAGGAAAAGCATACATACACATAATTGATTTCACATTGTTTTACATTTCCTTTGTCTTCTTCTGGAATGTCATCTTTTTTCTTGGTTTCTCTTTCAGCACAGGATCTAATCTAGATATTGGAAAAGAGAATCCAATGGGTTATATGTTTATCTTCCACCTTCCCCACTTTACGTATCACATAAGAACATTCGAGATGATTTCTTATGCAGAAGAAAAAATTAACTGAGCAACTATATTCAGAAAAAGACAGGTTCTGGCTATGTGTTTTTACTTCATATATAT
The DNA here is from genome assembly GCF_000001405.40 of Homo sapiens. Lineage (NCBI taxonomy): Eukaryota > Metazoa > Chordata > Mammalia > Primates > Hominidae > Homo > Homo sapiens. The sequence continues at coordinate 26,616 of NT_187373.1, read as the reverse complement.
AATCTATATGAGTAAGTGCTATCACATGCTTCCTCCACAGCCCTTGTGTCAGAAACACTACAGACAAAATTATTTCAGAAACATTTTACACATCAGATCTGTTAGGCAGTAAAGCAATCATTAACTAATTTAATTTTGTCCTCCAAGTCAATACACTAGGATCAAATTATCCCTAGTAGACAAGTGTTCATTTGATCAGATTGAAAGCTTAATAGCTATTTTAGATTGCACAGACTATTACCAAAGTATTAAAACTTTTAACATTACACAACTTGTTTTTAATTAATTGGAACCCACCTCTTTTACTAGCTTCTTATATCCTCCTAAGTTTGGATAGATGTTTACTATCACATGTCATAAGTTAATTGATCTGCATTCAACAATTAGGATCGCCCACAGAACAGGTAATTGGCAATGGTAAGGACTCATGTCTCCTAAGGGATCTCTGTGGCCAGAGTCTAGTTCCAGGGCTGCTTAGAAAGTGATGACAAATAACGTGTTTGTGCCAATGACATCTTTGTAACAGTTTTGATTAGAGGGGTCCCAGACCTGAAAACATTCCCTGCTAGGGCCTGTAGCACAATGCTACCTTTAGTAAGAGGGATCTGTGTTCTGGTAGATAAGGCAAGGTTATAAAGGTGAAGGGCTGACAGAGATTAGGAGAGCCTGCAATTAAATGGTACGAAAAGAGTCCTAAATAATCACTGTTCAGAGCTTCCAAGTACTTGACTAACCAAAGAGACCCAGAAAACTTTGTATTTCATCTGAAAATTGCTTTAAACAGTGAAAAATGCAATCTTTGTGTAAGTATCTTTGTATCTTTGTATAAGTGCAAAGCACTGCACATATATTTGCAATTGTTGCCTTCAATAACACTTTTGTGATGATATCCAGATGAAAAATAATTTAAACATGATACAATAAAATATAAATAAATTAAATTAAATGTAAGTCACAAACCCATCTGCATTTCCTCCATGACCTGTTTCCTGAGAAGCAATGTGCTATGAAATACTGAGACTGGCCTCTGGAGTCAGCTGGGCCTGGGTACACATCCTGTCTTACCACACCTTGAAATCACTGTGATTTCCATGAACTGACTGACAAAAACCACGAGGATGTAAGGAAGGTCAGAGGCTGTCTTACTGTCTGTAAGGCTGAGCTCACATCCACCTCACAGGAGCATTATGGAAATTCAAGACTGCAACGCATGTGCCGGATGCATGCAACGAAAAAATATAACACTTCACTTCTCTAACTGTAAGAAAATACCTACATTTTAGATTGAAATTGTTTGAGCTTTAGATTTGAAATTATCTGAAATCAAGACTATTCTAAAAAGAAAATCAAACATATGACCGGAAATCTAACATGAAGCACATACAGAGAATTGATAGATGCTTTTAAATTACACTGGTAGTAGAGAAAAACGTAACATAAATTTTTATGCTCTGATTATAAGAACGAAGGCCGTTTTAGAAAAGGCATTTGCCCCCTCTCTTAGAGCCTTCCACTCTGGCCCCCACAATGCCTGACAGAGTAAATCTGGGTCAGACTGGATGCAACCAGTGATTCCCAAAAGAGACAAACAAAGCAAGGTTCAGGATGCTCAGTACTGCGATGGAATGCCAAGACACAGAAAAGCCATGTGTCAAGAAGGGGGGAGTTATTCTTTAGACACATCCTGATATATGTTTATCATTAAAGATCAGTGGCTTTTGTGAGTCTAAAAAATTAAGCCTTAAATGTTTTCATCAAATTCCAGTTAACTACCTGATTTATCTAGGTTATATTAACAGTATTATTTAGAATTTCACCTTGATATGAAGATGTCTGTGTAACTTTTACAATGATGTAAAACAAAGAGTAGGGTTAGGGAGGGCACAGGCCACTGGTGCAATGGATAACGCGTCTGACTACGGATGAGGGAATTTAGCCTGGAATAAGGAACTTTTATTTCCAGCTTAGTGACGCACACAAATTTTAAAAATAAAATAAAAATCATGTTTTATGTGATTCATGTTTCTCCTAATGCAAAGAAGACGGGTACTATTACTAAAAATATTTTTAAAATGTAAGGGCTAAGGCCCCAGAAGTTCTGCTATGATTTTTTATGTTTCATAGAGTGATTATCATCACAGAAGCTCAAGCATTACATAAATACAAATGCGTGTACCCCGACCTGGTAATTCTGCTTCTTGAAATTTATCTTCAGGTCCACCCGCACATCTACAAATTGATGTATATTCAATGTTATGTACTGCAGCACTGTTTATAAGAGCAAAAGACTGGAAACAGCCTAAATTTCCATCTATAAAAGACTAAATAAATAAAGGTACATCCCTAAAATGGAATATTATGTGGCGTTAAAAAAGAGAGAGAGAGAAAGAGAGGAGAAGCAAGAAAAAGAGAAAGCTTTCTACATTCAAACTAATAGTAGAAAACTCTCCAAGATACAATTTTAAAGAAAAAAAAATCAAAGTCGAGAAAACTATAGAGGAGGCTGCCTTTAGTGTAAGACAGTTGAAAATTATAAATATATTCATATGTTTATAAAGAAATTTTAGGAGGCTATAAAAAAACAAAACAAAGGGAAAGAGGAACAGGAGCTGGGACACAGGTGAGCAAGATGCATGGCAGGCATATGTCTTCATCTTCGTATGCTTTTATTTAAAAATGTTGGACCACGTGTACATGTTATCTATTTTAAAAATTAGATTTTAAAATACAAGCAAGAAAACAAGAAAATGAAAGCATAAAAAGAGCATGTGGAACTACCAGTAAAAGATACTAATCCATGGAGATAATGGCAAGGTAGCTCCTAGATGCACTGATTTCTCTACCACACTGTATAAACAAGCCATCAACTATGCGATTTGTAATTTAAAATGAGTCTATTTGAAACACCACATTATAAAAAGCTATTAAGTAAATCTTCAAAGTGACAGTAAATGATGACTTAACATTTTAAAGAGATACAGTCACATCGCATGTGTGAATGCAGTCATCTGTATAAAATGTCATCATTACCTTCATCATTTCTTCTTCTCCTGCTGTTTTACTTTTTGCTTCTATGTCCCCTGCTTCATTGCATCTAATAAAGCAGCTATTTGAGGCCAACAAATCCATTTTCCCCTAAGTGAAACAAAATAACAAAATAGCCATGAGGATACTTCTTGTAGAAGAAATATTAAGTGTTTAGACTGAATGAATTTTTCCTCCCTGATTTAAAAATCACAGAAAAGAACTTAGAGAAAAACCTGAAAAATGTAATACAAGAACATATAGAAAAGGAAACCAAAATCACCTTTCATTTTGCTTTCAAAGATTGCCACAATAAATATTTGTAGTGTATCTTCCTAGTAGGACTAAACTCTAATTAGATGAGGTAGGATTGCTTCCTTTCTAAAAGATCTACTGAAGATAAAACTGATTTAGTTCTGTTTGAAAAATTAACTTTAAAGACAAGAACATAATTATGAATGCATACTTTATTCAAATATTAGCATTTTAAGTAAAATTTATTTTCTTCACAATTAGAAAACATGAAAAGGCATATACAATGCCTTTGGTGTTTTGAATTTAAGAATCAATGTCTGAGGGACTTTTGTGTGTGAAAATAAATATTCATGGCCGGGCGCGGTGGCTCACGCCTGTAATCCTAGCACTTTGGGAGGCCGAGGCGGGTGGATCACGAGGTCAGGAGATCGAGACCATCCTGGCTAACATGGTGAAACCCCGTCTCTACTAAAAATACAAAAAATTAGCCGGGTGTGGTGGCGGGCACCTGTAGTCCCAGCTACTCGGGAGGCTGAGGCAAGAGAATGGCATGAACCAGGGAGGCAGAGCTTGCAGTGAGCCGAGATCGTGCCACTGCACTCCAGCCTGGGCGACAGAGCCAGACTCTGCTTAAAAAATAAATAAATAAATAAATATTCATACACATTTTTCGTTGTTTAATGTTTGATGTATTACACTGCTTTCTATTAAACAAAACTTTAAAAACTGATTTTCTTGTGTATCTAAATCTGGGTTATAAATTTGGTTAGCTTAACTCCCGTAACAAATATAGTGTTTATTTATAACTTGTATTTGGTTGATTCTTTTGGAAAACTTGGAATACAATAACATTTAGACAAAATATTTATAAATACAATGATTACAAAATATGTTAACCTTATATCACATCCAGTTAAAAACGTGCTGATAATATGGATTTAATTTCTTAGTCAAGTCACAAGGGCTGGGTGGTCTCTCATCTCGATGGCTCCCGGTGAGCCCTGGAACATGGCGGTGTGGTCCAAGGCGATTTAAACCTGTGCCGCAGATTATTCAGCTGAGTCCTTTTTGCAATAGAGATTTAAGACCCTCTTTCATTTAAATTTAAATTTTTGAAACTTAGTGTCAAATGCTAAAATATCATTGGAACATTACTTTAGATTAGAAAATATTTTATTAATAATTCAGACAGAGTGTGATATGGTTTGGCTGTGTCCCCCCCAAATCTCATCTTGAATTGTAGTTCCCATAATCCCCACATGTTACCCAGTGGGAGGTAATTGAATCATGGGGGCGGTTAGCCCATGCTGCTATTCTCATGATAGTGAGGGAGTTCTCATGAGATCTGATGGTTTTATCCAGGACTTTTCCCCCTTTTGCTCAGCACCTCTCCTTGCTGCTGCCATGTGAAGAAGGATGTGTTTGCTTCCCGTTCTGCCATGATTGTAAGTTTCCTGAGGCCTCCCCGAACTATGAGTCAATTAAATCTCTTTCGTTTATAAATAGCCGAGCACTGTGAGAATGGACTAATAAATACGAGTGTCTTAATCCATTTTGCATTGTTATAAAGGAATATCTGAGGCTGGGTAATTTAATAAAATAAGACATTTATTTGACTCACGGTTCTTCAGGCTCTGCAAGAAGCATGGCACCAGCATCTGCTTCTGGTGAGGACCTCATGAAGTTTCTAACCATGGGGGGAGGCCAAGAGAGAGCAGGCATGTCACATGGCAAGGGAGGGAGCAAGAGAGAGGGGAGGAGTGCCATGCTCTTTTAGGCAGCCAGATCCCACAGGAACTAAGAGTGAGAATTCACTCAATCCTAACATAATGACACCAAGCAACTCATGAGGGATCTGCCCCCCTGACCCAAACACCTCCAACTAGGCCCCACCTCCCACATTAGGGATGAAATTTCAACATGATATTTGGAGGGAACTAATATCCAAACTATGTCATAGAGGTATGTGTGTAACCTCATTCATTTATGCATTCATTCAACAAAATATGTAGTGAGCACCTGCTATGTGCCAGGCACTGTGCTAGGCTGTAGATATGACTCATAAATAAGATGAATATTGCCACAGTCCTTAGGAGCCTAGTGTAGTTGGGGAGTAAATAAGCAAACAGATAATTTCTATACCTGGTAATTACTACCTTGATAGGGCAAAGAGGATTCTGTTTGTGCTGTATAAGCACATGAAAAGTACAAAGTCAATCCTTGGGAGGTCATGGAATCTTTCCTAGGAAATGATATATAAGGTGGATAAAAAGGTAACCAGATACAGATGAGAAGAGAAGGTGGGCCAGAAATTTTGAAATACTGAACCAACTGGATGTCATTCACTGACATAGGGTAATAGTATAGATGACTGGATTGGAAAATGAAAAAGGAACTAAAAGTAATTAAATGAGCTGCAGACATGAAAATGAACACTTGGGAAGTCCTGGCAGGAAGTCATCAATAAGACAACATAATGAAGTGGAAAGTGGTTGGGAGTAAGGCTGACTTGGATTCAAACCCTAGTTTCACCACTTAATAGACGTGTTACGTTGAACAAATCCTTTAACTTTTCAGAGCCTCAATTTTCCTCTTTGTAAAATACAGATAATAACATGGACACTATAAGGGTTTTGTTGTTGTTGTTGTTGTTGTGAGACGGAGTCTTGCTCTGTTGCCCAGGCTGGAGTGCAGTGCCTCGATCTTGGCTCACTGCAACCTCTGCCTCCTGGGTTCAAGCGATTCTCCTGCCTCAGCCTCCAGAGTAGCTGGGACTACAGGCGCACGCCACCATGCCTGGCTAATTTTTGTATTTTTTGTAGAGACGGGGTTTCACCATATTGGCCAGGCTGGTCTCGAACTCCTGATCTCAGATGATCCGCCTGCCTTGGCCTCCCAAAGTGCTGGGATTACAGGCGTGAGCCACCGCACCTGGCCCAGACACTGTAAGTTTTGGGGAGGATTAAATGGGATCATCCATGTAAATGCGCCTATCCCAGTCTCTAGCACACACTGAACACTCAAAAATGGGAGGTTTTGGTATTTCAGAAGAAAATCAGGTGTCGGGGAGTGTTAGTAGTAACCTTGAACTATATGCAAAGACTAAAGCTAGGAAGATAGGAAGAGTTTTACAAGATCCTTTTGGCTATATAGTTAAAGTTATTAGCAGTTAGAGTTTCCCTTACAGTTGACAAGTGAACCATACAAGTGAATGACTTGTGGTTCCTCAGATAAAAGCACGAGTCAGAGTTGTAATTTCTGTTTTGTGGACGTAATTGTTGACCAAGTGCACTGAAGGTAGGGATGGCCAGTAGCAAAATTATAAAGCAGGCCTGTTTGTCTTCAAACACTCCTGAGTAAACTTGTCATTTCCTTGTAAAAATGCAAAATAGACTACTGAGTAGAGGTGATCAATTACAGAAATGCACTTACTTTGGCTTTCTTCTGAAACCTAATAAAATGACAGTAAAGGGATTATTTTTTTAAGGCAGAAACCCACAATGATGATGAAATTAGAAAGGAAGACAAGAACAACAAGGTTGTGGAATTCAGAAGCCATATAGACAAGAGGTAACACACCTGAGAAAGATGATCCCTAAATTTGTCTTGGAGAAAACTCAGAAGTACCTGACTACATCATAGACCTCCCAAACAGCTTCCAAATGTCAGATACCACTGAAAATGGGGATAAAGGTAGGGTCAAAAATAGGAGGATTGGGTTATAAGTCTGTATAAGAAGTTGTTAGATCCCTACATCCTCTCTTCAAACCTGTATAGCCAGATAATGGTCCCTCTCCCAGCCTGGCAGAGGCTAGATAAGGTAAATAGAGAAACTTACTTCCTGGAGAACATTTGGCACATTTGGGGATGGAGTTCAGTAATATAAATGAAGGGGTAGTGAAAATTTATGGGAACATTTATAACCTAACAGAACCCCATGTCTTTTACCCCATTCTAATTCCAGACCACTAGAGATTAGAAAATTATTCTCTGGGGTATCTGACCACTTCCAGAGGAAAGACATAAAGATGCTGATGTCGAGAATGACCCAACTAAATGGCCCAGCCAGATGACCCAGTTGAAGCTGGTGGACAAGAAGTTTCATTCATGGAATCAGAACTTCCAATAAGGTCTTTTAGTACCTCACTCCTAAATTTGAATAGACTACCAAAGATTATCAGACATCTAAGGGGAACTACCAGCATGAAAGGTAGAGACCAAAGCAAACAAACAAACAAAGAAAATAATTTGGAACTAACCAAGACTATGCTGGGAGAAGAAAACTATTATTAATATCCACAGAGCGTAGTACAGCCACTATGGAGAACAGTATGGAGGTTCCTCTAAAGACTAAAAATAGAACCATCATATAATTCAACAATCCCACTGCTAGATATATACCCCAAAGAAAGGAAATCAGTATATTGAAAAGATATCTGCACTCTCATGTTTACTGTAGCGCTATTCATAATAGCCAAGATTTGGAAGCAACTTAAGTGTCCATCAACAGATGAATAGATTTTTTTAAAATGTGGTACATATACACAATGGAGTACTATTCAGCCATAAAAAAGAATGAGAAATGTCATTTGCAACAACATGGTTGGAACTGGAGGACCTTATGTTAAGTGAAATAAGCCAGGCCCAAAAAAGCAAATTTCACATGTTCTCACTCATTTGTGGGACCCAAAAATGAAAACAGTTGAACTCAGGGAGATAGAGTAGGATGATGGTTACCAGAGGCTGGAAGGGTAGTTGTGGTGGGAGGTGGGTGGTTAATGAGTACAAAAATATAGTTAGATAGAATGAATAAATCTAATAGTTGCTAGCACAACAGGGTGACTACAGTCAACAATAATTTACCGTACATTTAAAATAACTAAAAGAGTATAATTGGCATGTTAGTTACACAAAAAAAGGATAAATGCTTGAGGCAACGGATATACCATTTACCTGGATTTGGTTATCACACATTGTATACTTGCATTAAAATACCTGCCGGGCACATGGCTCATGCCTGTAATCCCAGCACTTTGGGAGGCTGAGGTGGGCAGATCACCTGAGGTCGGGAGTTTGAGACCAGCCTGACTAACATGGAGAAACCCGTCTCTACTAAAAATACAAAGTTAGCTGGGCATGGTGGCTCATTCCTGTAATCCAAGCTACTTGGGAGGCTGAGGCAGGAGAATCACTTGAACCTGGGAGGCGGAGGTTGCAGTGAGCCGAGACCACACCATTGCACTCCAGCCTGGGCAACAAGAGCAAAACTCCGTCTCAAAAAAAAAAAAAAAAATCTTATGTTCCCCATAAATATAAATACCTATTATGTACCAATAAAAGTAAAAAGTAAAAAGTTTCAATTGATTCACAACTTTAAAAAATATCCACAGAGGTGTAAGAGGAGATATTGTATTGCACCCACGAACCAGTCTTATGCTATTTCAGAAAGGGACATTCAAGAAACAAAAAGGGAGCTCTGGGAAATTTGAACAATAAATAATAGTAGAATAAAAAATTCAGAGAAAGTTTGGATGATAAATTTGAGCCAATCTCCCAGTAAGCAAAGCAAAAATATAGAAAATGAGAGTTAGAAAAGAAAAAGAAAAAAATTAAAGGACTAAAATAAGAAGTCCAACATCTAAATAAGAGGAGATCCACAAAGAGCAACAGAGATAAGAGAAGAAAGGAAATAATCAATAAAATAATTCAAGAAAATCCAAGGACATGAATTCTCAGATTGTAAGAGACTACTTGAGTGAAAAAAAAAAAAAAAAGAATGGAGTTAGACCCATCCCAAGGCACATTATTTGTGCGATTTTAAAATACCGATATATTAGTTTGCTAGAGCTGCAGTAACAAAACACCACAGACTGGGTGGCTTGAACAGCAGAAATTTGTTTTCTCATGGTTCTGGATGCTAGAAGTCTAAGATCGAGGTGACAGCAGTTTCGTTTTTTCCTGATGCTTCTCTCCTTAGCTCACAGATGGCTGCCTTCTAGTTGTGTCCTCATACTGTCTTCCCTTGGTCAGTGTTGTCTGTGTCCTCGTCTCCTCTTCTTAAAGGGACACCAGTCATATTAGGTTAAGAATTGCCCATTAGACCTCATTTTACCTTAATTACCTCTTTAAAGGCCCCACGTCTAAATACAGTCATATTCTAAACTACTGGGGGTTAGGGCTTCACTGAGTGAATTTTGGTGGAAAGTGGGGCAGGGGACACAATTCAGCCTACAAAAACTGGAAACAAAGTGAAAATCCTATGTGTTTCTGTGCTCAGAAGACAGGAAGTAGTCATACCCAAGAGTCAATAATTAAACTGGTTTCTCACCAGCAATTTGGGAGACTGGAAGTCGGAAGACACAGAGCAGTGCCTACCACATTCAAAAGAGAAAAGAGGCCGGGCATGGTGGCTCACGCCTGTAATCCCAGCACTTTAGGAGGCGAGGAGGATGGATCACCAGGTCAGGTGTTCAAGACCAGCCTGACCAACATGGTGAAATGCTGTCTCTACTAAAAATACAAAAATTAGCTGGGCATAGTGGAACACGCCTGTAATCCCAGCACTTTGGGAGGCCACAGAGGGCAGATCACCAGGTCAGGAGTTTGAGACCAGCCTGACCAACAAGGTGAAACCCCATCTCTACTAAAAATACAAAAATTAGCCAGGCGTGGTGGCGCATGCCTGTAATCCCAGCTACTCAGAAGGCTGAGACAGAAGAATCACTTGAACCCAGGAGGTGGAGGTTGCAGAGAGCCGAGATCATGCCACTGCACTCCATCCTGGGTGACAGAATGAGACTCCGTCTCAAAAAAAAAAAAAAAAAGAGAGAGAGAAAAGAATTCCAACCCAGAATTCTCAACTTCACTGTGTCAGAACATATGAAGTAAACAAATATTCATCTCTACATTTGCCAGTCCCTGTGGACTTAGACCAGATAGTATAAATAATAGTCACAAAAGGAGTATGAATGGGATAAGAAGCCACTTCTAGTCTGAGACAATTAAGAGTAGTAGTGCCTTCTCTGCACTCTCACCGCCTCATTCTGACAGCTGAAGTGAAGGACTCCCAACTTCTGGAACTGCCCAATGAAAGTAGCCTTGTGTGAGTGTTAGCTGGCCTGCTTTGGTCTGGGATGCAAGTAGAAATAAACTCCTCTCATATTAAGCCACTAAGACTTTAGGGATATGTTGCTGTAGCATAGCCTAATGTAGCCTGATTACTGAACGAGCCACCCCATCAACTGAATCTATGTATATACTAAAAACATTTTAAGATACGCAAGGTCTCAAAGAGTTCACTCGATGCACACTTTTTCTCAGGAAGCTACTAGAGGATGTGCTCCACAAAAAATAAAGGTATAAATTGTGAAAGAGGAAAACATAGGATTTAGGAATCAAGGGAATTCAGCACAAGACAGAAGAAAAGGGAATCTGCAGCAAGATCCCTGAGCTGTGCATGTAACATAAAGGGCAACAATTTCCAACACAGAGCAGATCACAAGACCCTAGGATAGATTTCTTGAAGAAAATGAAATTAAAAGAATACTGGATTCATCTGAACATACGAAAAGGAGATTTAAGCAACTTTTTAAGAGCTTGGGAATGAATTAATGATAAATATATGGTATTATGCAACCAAAACTACAATAAAAACTCATTAAAAATTATAACTCATAAAATTATTAATTTCAGGGAAAATAAAAAGTTGAGTAGGAATGAAAAAAGAATCAGAGGATACTATAAAGCTCATCTGTGGATATTGTTTACATAGTCATGATAATGAAAAAGAAATAATCTAACCAAAATTAAACGTTGGAAGTGTGGGGAGATAGAAATGGTAGTGTATTCGCTATTTATGTGTTGGGGAGGATACCTGTAACTTTAACATTAGTGAGCTTTACTTTACTAAGGCTAAATAAACAAACTCAAGTGTCCAGAAAGGCTAGAGAAGGAGCTTACAAGAATGAAGCTATTGTGGTGTGATTCAATAGGGAATAGGTGGGGCCTTGGCAACATCAATTTGTAGTATCCCTGCCAATTGATACTACAACATCAATTTGTAGTATCCCTGCCAAAATTTAACTATGGAAAATAGTTAAATTTTAATATGCACACATCTGTGGTTGTGGTTATACAGATATATATATATATATATATATATATATATATATATATAATAAAAATTTATATATAAATAAATACATAAACAAACTCAAGTGTCCAACAGGGCTAGATAAGGAGCTTACAAAAATGAAGCAGTTGTGATGTGATTCAATAGGGAATAGGTGGGGCCTTGGCAAACCAAAGAACATATTCTATCTAAAGTGGATGGCCACAACTTGCTCCAGCTGTGGAAACTTGGGCCATGTACTGCTAGATCTAAGGATTTTCTTTTGAGAGATGCTAGATATATACATTTTTTAAAAATAAAATTATCCTGATTTTAACAACATTGCCTTATTATATAAAACATACCTTGGAGGGTGTGGGTAAGACACAATGTCCTTGAAATTATATTTCACTGGGTTAATAAAATTGGCTCCGGAAGAAAATAATTTTAAACAGCAAACCAAAAAGTGAAGGCCTTCAAAACTAACAAACCAAAGGAAAACAAAACAAAATGACAACAAGAAAAAAACAAAGAAACAAAACCCCTGGACCTTACCATTTTTCTAAGGCATGTTGACATGATAAAATCAAAATTGCTTTGTGCTTATAAGGATCAAAGGTTATGCTTTTGACTTTATAAATTCAGAGAAAGAATTTAATTGGAATTATTTTTATGAATTAACTGAAGATCTAAGGCAACTGGATAATTTAGGTTCTGCTAGTATCTAGAATATTCAAAGTTTATGTTTAGTCTGACACTAAAGAATCCATTATTTCTCTTGACTTCCAGGCTGGTCAGTGTCTTTCCTGTGTCATATACCAAACAATGTGTTAGAAATTGTCTTCTCACTCATAAACTAATATTTGTTCAGAGTAAAAAGTCAAGCAAGTAAATAATGAGAAAAAATTCAGTGTATTGTATAAACAAAGACAGAAGGCAGACCAATGGTTACCTGGGGCCTAAGCTAAAGAGATTAATTGTACACAGTCACAAAGGAATTTTTTGGGATGGTGAAAGTGTTCTAAAACTGGATTGGGATGATTGTGGCACAACTGTATAAATGTTATTAAAACTCATTGAGTTGTACACTTAAATGAGTGGCTAAGTTGTGCTTTAATAAAGCTGTAATTTTGAAAAAGAATAATGGATGATCAACTGTGAGCTAGAGTATGATGAAAACACAAGACATTTACATAGCTTCAAAGTATCTCCCCATCAGGTACTTATTAACTGCATCAGGGAAACAGTAATTTTCTTGTGGCAGAACCCTGCTGACAAAGTTAACATTCTAGTAAAAGCACAGGTGGATGTCATGTGCCTCCTGAAGTGATGCACAGAGAAGGATGCAACATCAACTTGTAGTATTCCTGCCAAAAATATATAACCTGAATTTAACCATGCTGAAACATAAGACAAATCCAAGTGAAGGAACATTCTACAAAACAACTGACCAGTACTCCTCAAGAGTGTCAAGGTCCTGGAAGACAAAGACTGAGCAATGCTTCTGATTAAAGTAGACTGAGAGGTGACAACTGAATGCAATGTGGGATTCTGGATTAGGTCTTGGCCCAGAAACAGGTCTTCGGTGGGACAACTGGCAAAATGTGAATAAGGTCTCTGGTTTTGTGAATGGTAGTGTATCGACGCTCATTACCTGCTTTTGATCATGGTAGTGATAGTAAGATATCAACATTCAGGAAAGTACAGTGAAGGGTATATGGGAATCTCTACTATTTTTGTAACTTTTGTAAGTTGAAATTGTTTCAAAATGAGTTAGAAAATTAAAAGGAAGTTTTCTCTTTCAGCTGGGAAAACAGCAATGGATTAATAACAAGAAATTAATGGTGAAGTGGTGACGAAAATTCTACATTGCTTAGAAAGCAAGTAAGAAAATCAGTGGTTGTAGAGAAGTTCTTACATGAAGTAATAAAAATAAAAATTGTTATGTTAAGCATTTTCTATTTTCTTTTCCTCCCCTCCAAATGAAACAGCATACTATTCTGCATGTTTTTCTACCTAACAATGTATCTTTTTAATGACTCTTGTATTTTAAACCTAAAATTTTGATTAAGCTTCACTTAATATTAAAAAAGATAGTATAGGTCACGATGTTATTTGATGCAAACGTTGGAAAGACAGAATCTTCTTGATCCAAGAGCTTTTAGAATTCAAAGTCTGATTCTGGTTATTACTCTGCTCATTTAAGATAGTGAAATGAACATTTACATTCTGGCAACCTCAGAAGTACAATGAACAAAGGACACCAGCCAGGTAGGGCAAAGGCCTGTGCACCCCCTTTTGCTGTTACATGTTTATCAGATGCGTGCTCTGTTTCTGTTATATTACATTACTTTTCTCTTCAATGTTTACTGAGGAAGAACAAGTAGCTCCTCAGGCAAATCAACTGTTAACTTTGCAGTTTTTATTTAATCTCCCAGGAATGTAACCCTTAACTTTAAAGAATGTAGTGACCATAAAACTTATAAAGCATGTTTCTTAAGGAAATTGTACCTGTTTATTTAATCTATCAGATATGAATGTTATAGAAAATTAAATTTGTCCACTTAAGCTGTAGATGAACTTTTCACCTTTCTGATCAGAAATTCACCATCTTATAGTATAGGTTCTGTTATTAATCAGAATATTTCATTTAGACTCTTTCTATCCAACTTTTTCTTAGAGGCTATTCAAAATAAAGGTGCTTCTAACAGTTTCATATCGAAATACGATGCAAAGCCTTGCTCTTCCATGGTATCCTTTGAGTGAGCCAAACTTATTTAGCCATTCCCCTATAGTTAAATAGCTAGGATGTTTCCAACATCTCACCTTTAAAACAATAGTGCTATGAATGTCATAAATGTTTGTATATGTAAATATGTGGGATAAATCCCTATCAGTAGAATTTCAAAAGGTATACGCAATCAGTATTTTCATACATATTTAAAATTTTCCATCCATACAAAGGTTGCTAACATATTTATTTAAAATTTTAAAAATAATTTTATATGCCTCTTGTAACCAGTAATAGGATGCCAAGTTTTTTTTTAAGGTAACATTGCTCCTCTTCCCCCATTGTCTCTGTCATCTATAGTACTCCCTGAGGTAGTTCATGTTATTGCAAGGGTGTGTATCATCACAAACATATTGCTTCCACATACATATATCAGCATACATATATATATATATATATGTATAGCATATATATATATGAGCACATATTAATATATGCCCATGCACATACAAGCATGTTTTTGTTAATTTTTACTGAAATGGAATCATACTACATACTTATGAACAAATTGCTTCTTTCACCTTATATCACTTATAATTGTTATTCTACAAATCAGTACATATAAAAAATACATATTTACATATGTAATACTCTATCTTTCTGTTATAATTTTCTGCATGCACATGTATGCATATACATATATTCATAAACATAAAACTTAATCTAAACGGGATTTTTTTTTGGGGGGGTGATATGGTTTGGCTGTGTCCCCACCCAAATCTCATCTTGAATTCCCATGTGTTGTGGGGGGACCCGGTGGGAGGTAATTGAATTATGGGGGCAGGTCTTTCCTGTGCTGTTCTTGGGATAGTGAAAAAGTCTCACAAGATCTGATGGTTTTAAAAAGGTGAGTTTCCCTGCATAATCTCTCTTCTCCTGTCTGGTTCCATGTGAGATGTGCCTTTTGCCTTCCGCCATGATTGTGAGGCCTCCCCAGCCATGCGGACCCGTAAGTCCAATAAACCTCTTTCTTTTGCAAATTGCCCAGTCTCAGGTATGTCTTTATCAGCAGCATAAAAATGAAACAATACAGTAAATTGGTACAAGTAGAGTGGGGCGCTGCTGAAAAGATACCTGAAAATGTGGAAGAAACTTTGGAACTGGGCAACAAGCAGAGGTTGGAACAGTTTTGAGGGCTCAGAAGACAGGAATATGTGGGAAAGTTTGGAGCTTCCTAGAGACCTGTTGAATGACTTTGCCCAAAATGCTGATAGTGATATGGACAATAAAGTCCAGGCTGAGGTGGTCTTAGATGGAAACAAGAAACTTGTTGGGAACTGGAGCAATGGTGACTCTTCTTATGTTTTAGTAAAGATACTAGGGGCATTTTGCCCCTGCCATAGATATATGTGAAACTTTTAACTTGAGAGAGATGATTTAGGGTACCTGGCAGAAGAAATTTCTAAGCAGCAAAGCATTCAAGAGGTGACTTGGCTGCTGTTAAAGGTATTCAGTTTTATAAGGGAAGCAGAGCACAAAAGTTTGGAAAATTTGCAGCTTGACAATGTGCTAGAAAAGAAAATCCCATTTTCTAAGGAGAAATTCAAGCTGGCTGCAGAAATTTGCATAAGTAACAAGGAGCTGAATGTTAATCCCCAAGACAATGGGGAAAGTGTCTCCAGGGCATGTCAGAGTTCTTCATGGCAACCCCTCCCATCACAGGCCCAGAGGTTTAGGAGGAAAAAGTGGTTTTGTGGGCTAGGCCCAGGGTCCCTCTGCTGTATGCAGTCTAGGGACTTCATACCCTGCATCCCAGCCATGAATGAAAGGAGCCAAAGTACAGCTCTGTCTGTTGCTTCAGAGGGTGCAAGCCCCAAGCCTTGGCAGCTTCCACATGGCTTTGAGCCTGCGGGTGCACAGAAGTCAAGAATTGAGGTTTGGGAAACTCCTCCTAGATATCAGAAGATGTAGAAGTTTGCTGTAGGGGTGGGTCCCTCATGGAGAACCTCTGCTAGGGCAGTGTGAAAGGGAAATGTGAGATTGGAGCCCCCAAACAGAGTACCTACTGGGGCACCATCTAGTGGAGCAGTGAGAAGAGGGCCAC
Organism: Homo sapiens; assembly: GCF_000001405.40. Lineage (NCBI taxonomy): Eukaryota > Metazoa > Chordata > Mammalia > Primates > Hominidae > Homo > Homo sapiens. The sequence goes on along the minus strand of NT_187373.1, from coordinate 10,392 downwards.
TGTTCTTTAGACCCTGGAATGGTAGATCCATGGACGGCTTGCACTGTGCACCTAGAAAAGCCACAGACACTCAATGCCAGCCTGTGAAAGCAACCTGGAGAGAGGCTGTACCCTGCAAAACCTCAGGGGCAGAGCTGCCCAAGACCATAGGAACCAACCCCTTGCATCAGCATGACCTGGATGTGAGACATGGAGGCAAAGGAGATCATTTTGGAGCTTTAAGATTTGACTGTCCCACTGGATTTCAGACTTTCATGGGGCCTGTATCCCCTTTGTTTTGGCCAATTTCTCCCATTTGGGATGGCTGTATTTACTAATGCTGTACCTCCATTATATCTAGGAAGTAACTAACTCGCTTTTGATTTTACAGGCCCATAGGTGGAAGGGACTTGCCTTGTCTCGGATGAGACTTTGGACTTTGGACTGTGGACTTTTGAGTTAACACTGAAATGAATTAATGCTGAAATGAATTAAGACTTTGGGAGACGGTTGAGAAGCCATGACTCATTTTAAAATGTGAGAACATGAGATTTGGGAGGGGCTGGGGTGGAATGGTATGGTTTGGCTGTGTCCCCACCCAAATCTCATCTTGGATTCCCATGTATTGTGGGAGGGACCCGGTGGGAGGTAACTGAATCATGGGGGCAGGCCTTTCTCATGCTGTTTTTGTGATAGTGAACAAGTCTCATGAGATCTGATGGTTTTGAAAAGGGGAGTTTCCCTGCACAAGCTCTCTTCTCTTGTCTGCTTCCAGGTGAGACATGCCTTTCACCTTCTGCCATGATTGTGAGGCCTCTCCAGCCATGTGGAACTGTAAGTCCAATAAACCTCTTTCTTTTGCAAATTGCCCAGCAATGTGAAAACAGACTAATACAGTGGGAGATTACTTCTCCATACCCTCTTTGTCTGCCAACCATATCACCTCTGCTGTTTCCTCTCCCCAAAAGGTAACCCATGTTAACCTCTGATTATGATCAAATAATTATATGTATTTATTTATATAAATACCATTTCTTTATATATTTTGAACATATTAATGCATACACAAGTGTGCTAAAATTTATATTTCTACTGCTGTCACCATCTGTAGCTTGTATGATTTACAGAATTTCATGAACAAAAATACATGAAGTAAAAGGAACCATTATGATGTAAAAGCATATAGATTAATAATATTCTGCTTACTAAAAGTTTCTTTTTTCTTTTTTTTTCCTTTGGAGATGGAGTTTCTCTGTTATTGCCCAGGCAGGAATGCAATGGCATGATCTTGGCTCACTGCAACCTCCATCTCCTAGGTTCAAGCGATTCTCCTGCCTCAGCCTCCCGAGTAGCTGGGATTACAGGAGTGTGCTATCACACTCGGCAGATTTTTGTATTATTAGTAGGGACACGGTTGCACCATGTCGGTCAGGCTGTTCTCAAACTCCTGACCTCAGGTGATCCACCTGTCTTGGTCTCCCAAAGTGCTGGGATTACAGATGTGAGCCACCGTACCCGGCCTACCAGTGGTATTACCCAGGGATATGAATAGCTAAGCTATACTTTAGGCACAAACCAGCACTATTATCAAGATGCAATATGTGAACTCATCTTTCTTCTAGCATCAGTTCAGAATTAATTTTAATCTGTGTATTGTATACTGCTGCCAAAAACTCATTAACCACAATTAAATTATGAAAGTACATGTGTAAATTTATGGATAGCAATACACAATCCAAAATATGAGTTTGCTATAAAAATAAAGCATATGGGTAGAATCATATTAATTATAAGTAACCAGAACTGTTAATAAGAAATTAATATTAAAATATATTGAATTTGATATTTCCATAACTGAAGTAAACTAATTTAATAAGCGAAGCTAACCAGTCTAAAATATCAAAGGAGAATAAGAATAAAGTTTATTATTAAACATACAAGCTAATCAACTTACTTTCTTATATTTCTTGATAATATGTTGAATTTACTTTCGAGCATGTTTTGAAGAGGTAGTTAGTCAATCTTTATGTCCCTTTTGAAGATATGATGAAATAGTTACATCTCTATTATGGAATAACATGAAGTGGTTTAAAAAATGAGTGATGTATGGTCTGGCATGGTGGCTCACACCTGTAATCCCAGCACTTTGGGAGGCCGAGGCAGGTGGATTATCTGATGTCAGGAGTTCAAGACCAGCCTGGCCAATGTGGTGAAACCCCATCTGTACTAAAAATACAAAAATTAGCCAGGCGTTGTGGCGGGTGCCTGTAATCCCAGCTACTTGGGAGGCTGAGGCAAGAGAATTGCCTGAACCTTGGAGGCAGAGGTTGCAGTGAGCCAAGACTGCACCATTGTACTCCAGCCTGGACACCATGAGCAAAACTTCGTCTCAAAAAAAAAAAAAAATGATGAATGATGTATTTCTAATTCTAGTGAGAAGGAAAGAGTATCAGTGCATATTGTCAAGTGAAGAAAGCAAGCTCCAGAACAAAGCCTATGTATGTTCCTATTTATTAAAAACAAAAGCCACATATGTATACAAATGTACTCTATCTTTCTGTTATAATTTTATGAATGCACATGTATGCAAATACATATATTCATATACATAAGACTTAGTCTAAACAGGAATATTCTTTCAGGAGGGAATCTTGCTTCTCCTACAGAAAAATACCTAACATGGCAGGGGCAAAGGTAATATTGGACCAAAAAAATCTGGACCTATGTCTATTAAATTGCTCACAGTGTTTATATAATATCGGTGAAGGGAAGTAAAATTGAGGTTAGTGAAAGATACTCCACGTTTTACCCTAATACTTTTCTACTGTTTGAATTTTTTATAGTTATAATACATTCAGGTATAATACATAATTTATATATAAATACTATATATATACACATACACACACATATATATATATGTGTGTCTATATATATTTTAATAAGAAACAAGGTCTTTCTCTCTCACCCAGGCTGGAGTGCAGTGCAGTGATCATAGCTCACTGTAACCTCAAACTCCTAGGCTTGCGTGATCCTCCCACCTCAGCCTCCTGAGTAGCTGGGACTACTGGTGCATGCCACCATGCCCAGCTAAGTTTTAAAATTTTTGTAGAAACAGGGTCTTGCTATGTTGCCCAGGTTGACCTTGAACTCCTGGCCTCAAGAGATCCTTTCCCCTCAGCCTCCCAAAGTGCTTGTATTACAGGCATGAGCCACTGTGCACAGCCTACTTATATTATTTAAAAAACAATTAATCAAATAAGTTGGTTAGGATTAGTTTCAGTGGCATAAACAGAAACTTAAACAATGTGAAAGCTTATTTCTGTCTCCTTCTGCCAGGTGAACACACAGTGTTCATCCCCTCAGGAGGACACAGCTTTTGAGGTACCATCTTGGAAGCAGAGACCAGCCCTCACTAGACACAAACTTCCTGGCACGTTGATTTTGGACTTCATAGCCTCTAGAACTGTGAGAAATAAATTTTTATTATTTATAAATTACCCTGTATTGGATATTTTGTTATAGCAGCACAAAAGGTCTAAGACAATGACTGAAGGACGGAGCTATAGGACTCAAAAGACCCTGGTCTTGAAGCCAGAAAGACCTGGCTTTGCCAGTAGCATGGTATTTCAATTAAGTATGATTAAACACTCTTCGAGGGAATAGAAAGGGGAAGGAAGAATGGAGATGGATCATTTGTTTCATGCCTTTTACTTACGTGTAAGGAATTATGAGCAGGTGCCTATGGATTTTGGAATATGCTTCTCTAACACTATAAAAATTAGAAAGTGAAACTTATAGCCACAAATGTCCATTTAAAATTTCTAATGACAATGGAAGAAATTATTTAGACTCTCTCCTAAACTATTACACCATACATCATTGCAAAACATTTTTTTTCATTTTGCCCAACCTCCACTCCTGTCATTCCACCACTCCTATAGTATCTAAAATATAGTTTCTTTTAGAGAGATTGGTGCACCACTCAACTTGTCAGCTTGAGGGCTTTGAATGGTGTTTTCTTTTTTTTTTTTAATTTCATGGCAAGCTGACTTACAAGTGACTCAACTGTAAGCTAAGACTTATTAATAGCATGGTTTAACCACCAAAGATAATGAATTCAAACAATGTTACTCACAGCCTTTAATGTCACAGCCCCTAAAAACATTGAAATGTACATTTTTCACCTGCTAGTCATCTTCAGTATTCTGGAGAGGAAATATTCTTTCCTGTCCTTACAGTGGTTGTATATCTTAAAAGACGACTATATGACACTTGAATATTGATATTCAACCTTAACCAAAGCAGTCACAAGAATACAAGCCATTGACCTCTGGCCTTTTAGATATGTTCCCAACAAGTTCATGTGTACCCAATGAAAAATGTTAAATAAACTGATAAACTTTAAACATTTAAAAATATTTTATTTATTTACTTGCCACAGCTAGATAAGAGGAACTGGGTTAATTTTGAAACTCTCAGCTTCCTTTCCTCTAAACCAGTAGCTATTGCTGGCCACTAGTATGTTGTTTCCTTTGCAGGAAGTTGCAAAAATGAGAAAGAAAAAAACGAAAAACAAAACCAAGTTGGTATTATTTTTAGCTTTCTTCTTATTTGGATATAGCTACAGTTCTTTTTCTTATGGTGATTAACATAACTATTCAAGAGAGAAGAACCAAGCAAAGGGGAGTAGTAGGGAATTAGTAGGGAATTGTGCCAAAGGACATATGGCAAGGTTATTGTCAGAAAGCTGAGCTGCTGAAATCCAGACAGTTTAAGAGCTTATCTGCTCTGCTCTGCTCCACCTAGGAGGACTCCTACTACAATGCAAAGACTCAAGTTTCACCTTAATTAGGTCTTTCCCAGGCCAGGTATTAGTGACCTTGGGAAAAAAGTTTAAGCTTCTCAGCTTCAGATCTTCCTCTGAATATTAGCACTGTGGTAATTGGCACAGTGGTACCTAACCCTTTGAGGGTCCAGGATTGTTTTAATGGTGAGTGATTTACAAACTGAGTTTAAAAGAGCAAGGAGGATCCAATTTCGCAAAATTTCATTAACTCTGCTTAAGAAAACAGTATATTATATTAGCTTAGATCAGGAGTTGGGAATCTATAGCCTGCTACCATTTATTGTGTAGCCTGCAAATGGTTTTTACATTTTTAATACATTGGAAAAAAAATTAAAGAAGATTATTATTTCGTGATGTGAAAATTATACATGTTGAAAGGAAAACTTTAGAGTTTAATTGAGTAAAGAATGATCTGTGAATTAGGCAGCCCCCAGAACCAGAGTAGGGTTGGTTACAGCTGAGCATTTGCCTTATTTGAACCTGGTTTGAAGAGTTGGCTGCCTGTGGTTGGCTGAAGTTCAGCTGCTGTGATTGGCTGAGACTCACTACTTGTTACAAGAGTAGGTTACATATCAAGTTTTACATATCAAGTTGAAATATAGTTTTTTATGTACTGGGAAACCTTTAGGGTAAACTTAAATTATGTAAGGAGGCAGCTTTAGGCCACAATGAATTTAACAATTCCTCCTTTTGGTCAACCTGTCAATTTTGAGAGGATGATTAATTTTGAGGTTGCCCAAAACTTTAGGCACTGACATCACTTTTTATCATCATAAATAGAGTTATTTGGTCTCTAATCCCATTGGAAAATAGCAGAACACTGGATTTTGTAAGGTGGGAACAAGGAAACAGTATAGAAAAAAAAACTGATTGGTTAACATCAGATTACTTTTTTATTTTTTTGTCACCCAGGATGGAGTGCAGTGGCACAATCTTGGCTCACTGCAACCTCACCTTTCGGGTTCAAGCAATTCTTCTGCCTCAACCTCCCAAGTAGCTGGGACTACAGGCGTGTGCCACCACACCCAGCTAATTTTTGTATTTTTAGTATAGACGGGGTTTTGCCACGTTGGCCAAGCTGATCTCAAGCTCCTGACCTCAGGTGATCCACCCGCCCTGGCTTTCCAAAGCGCTGGGATTACAGGCATGAGCCACTGTGTCTGGCTGAGATTGCTTTTTTGTAAGTAATCTGTTGTTACTTTGGGTTACTTTTCTGTAAGGGATAGAGCAGAGGGGACTTCCTTATTATACTGGAATCTTCTGTCTTCAGGAGAAGAAAAAAAAAAACTCGTCTATTTTGGGACCTGTTTTTTAAAGTTTTAGTTTGATTTTGTGGTGCTTAGCATGAGCGACTCCATTTTGGTTTGGTCTGGTCTGCTTGGGATTAGTGCAGGAGCTCAGTCCAAAACAATGGCCTCTCATAATTTTGTTTAATACATGAAATTCAAATTTCAAACTTGTAGACATTTGCTCTCTCTCTTATTATATAAGTACCTACACAATGTCCTCAAATTTGCTTTTTGATCTGTAAAGACTAAGATATTTATCATCTAGTTTTACAGAAGAGTTTGCAGATCTTCTGGTTTAAAAGAGCAGGAGATTTAGTGTCAGGCAGGTTTGGATTGAGCCCAAGGGCTGCCATTTACTGATTGTATGACTTTGAGCAAGGTATTTATCTTTTCTAAGCCTCAATTTCCTCATCTATAAAATGGGCACACAAATAGTATTTACCTTGGAGAGTTAAATGGGATAATGCATTTAATGTGCTTAACACAGTGCCTATCAGATGCTTAGGGGCTCAAAACATTATTATTGTTGTTGCTGTTGTTGTTTTACCCTAAAGTAAATGAGACAAAATAGCAAAGCTAGATGAGGAGGAATTTTTAAGATACATCAGAAACTGTAATAGATTCTAAAATATTATAATTAAGAAATTTCATACTTATTTAAAAAGGCATTTTCAATTTAACAATTTAACAATTTAACCCTCTTATAAGTTAAAAAAAAAAAAAAAGCCCGGCACAGTGGCTCACGCCTGTAATCCCAGCTCTTTAGGAGGCTGAGGTGGATGGATCAGGAGGTCAGGAGTTCAAGACCAGCCTGGCTAACGTGGTGAAACCTCGTCTCTACTAAAAATACAAAAATTAGCTGGGGGTGGTGGTGCATACCTGTAATCCCAGCTACTCAGGAAGCTGAGGCAGGAGAATCGCTTGAACCCGGAGGCAGAGGTTGCAGTGAGCCAAGATCGTGCCACTGCACTCCAGCCTCGGCAACAGAGCAAGACTCCATCTCAAAAAGAAAAAAGAAATAAAAATAAAAAGTCATGCCCAGCTATTTTGGGAGAACTGAAATTACAACTCTATCTGAGAAAATAAAATGACAGGACTCCACAGAATCCATAGATAAAAATTTAACTGAAGAGGAATATGGAACAGACTAAAGGAAAAATTTTATCAAGCTGTAATCTTTATACTTGTGCCTAAGGCCAGAACTTGAAACTGCTGAAGACAGTGTTTCTCTACAAATGCACACAGGCACCCCATTTTGATGCACAGATAGGTGTTTATTTCTTTTAAGAATAGCAGCTTTATTGAGATAAATTTCACATATGATACAATTCACCAATTTAAAGTGTACAAGTCAATGGTTTTCAGTATAATCAGAGTTGTACTACCATCACCATAATCAATTTTAGAACATTTTCATCACCGCCCAAAAACCACTGTAGTCTCTCCCCAGTCCTCCACTCCTGGGAACCATTAATGTACTTTCTGTCTCTATAGATTTGCCTATTTTGGTTATTTTATATAAATGGAATCATACAACATGTGGTCTTTTGTGAATAGCTTTTTTCACTTACCATAATGTTTTCAAGATTGATTCATTTTGTAGCAGGTATCAGTCCTTTTTCCTGTTTATTGCCAAATAATTTTCCATTGTACGGATAGATCATATTTTGTTTATCCATTTGTCACATTTTGGTTGTCTATCAGTTGATAGATATTTGTGGTGCATTTAATTTTTGGCCAATGTGTAAAACTTATTTTGCTCTCATTGAGGCTACATACTGTTACAACAATGCTATTTGGTCAACTTGACTGAGCTGGCCTCATAGGTTACAGGTTGTTCATTGTTAGAGATGAGACTTTAGACCAGACTGGACAACATAGTGAGACCCTGTCTCTACCAAAAAGAAAAAGAAAAATTAGCCAGATGTAATGGCATATGACTGGAGTCCCAGCTACTTGGGAGGCTGAGATGGGAGGATCACTTGAGCCCAGGAGTTTAGGACTGCAGTGAGCTGTGATCGTGCCAATGCAATCCATGCTGGGCGACAGAGTGAGACCCTGTCTCAAAAAACAGAAAGAGGGATTTTAGTATAACATTCAGCCAGTGCCATATTGGGAACCCACAAGAATGTACTTTTAAAAATATGTCAAAGAAGATGGTGAGGGCTGTAATAGCTGCTATTCAGGCAGTAATGCAGTGCTGAAGGGACATCAAGCAAATAGTGTGATGCCTGTGGGTGCAATGTTACTCCTTCCCTTAGGTTGCCAAAAAAATCAATACTTCATAGCATTCCTGAAACGAAAAAGCTTATGAACCATTGTGTTTAGGGCGTAAGCTATCTATTTTGGGCTACCCATCACAGCTTCTCTCCTTTGGCAGAATACAGTGAACTGAACCACCACACCTAAGGTATTTGCCTTATTTCTTCCTCAGCTGGTTCATGGTTACATTGTCAAAGCTGGCAAAGCATTCAAGACCTGATTTCTCAGACCGAGTGTATGTGTGAATATAATATACTCATTTGCACAAATATAAACCCTCTGTCTTAACTGTGTTCTGCAAAAGGCGTGATAAATACTTTCAAGTTATATGTACTTATCAGTAGAACTAATGGAATACACACAGTATATTTTATGGGGAATTTCAGAGAAGGAAGGAAAAGTCAACCTTTTATTTGGCATCAGGATAGTAGTAAAACATTCTACTTGTGCATCAGATAGATTTTTATGACCTAACCTGGACAAGTAACTTAACTCTTGGTGCCTCATGTTTGAAAGAGGGATAACACTCTACAGGGTCATTCTAAGAATTACATATTGCCAAAACACATGAAAAGATTCTCAACCTTGTTAGTAATCAAGGAAATGCAAATGAAGATCACAATGAAGTCTTCTTTTGTACTCAATTGATTGGTGAAAAATGCATGCCTGATAATATTGACATACAGACCAATGAGATCTCTTATAATTTGCTGGGAAAATGTATCAATTTGTACAAACATTTTGAAAAATAATTGTGCATTTTCTTGTGAAGTAAAACATTTGAATAATCTAGGACCCAGCAATTCAACTCTTAGACACTCAAGAGGAAGTTGCACACACATATGTCAGGAAAAATGTTCATAGCAGCCCTGTTCATAAGAGCAAAACCTGGAACAATTGAGAGGAAATGAATAAATTGCCGTGTAGCCACACAATAGAATACAAGACAGCAGTGATGCTGAAAAATATAGCAAGCCTCAGGAGTTTATATATTATATGGATAATTTTATGAAGCTCAAAAACACCCAAAATTAAACAACATATTCTCTAAGTACATACGTGGGATATGTGATAAAACTAAAAAGAAAACAGGGAAGGATCAGCAATCCAGAACCAATTCATGACTGTTGTTACTATCTTATGGGGCAGGCTGTGGATTGGAAGCGGGGGCGGTGCACATAGGTACGTGTAGCTTACTGGTAATGCTTTTATGTTAGGAATGAGGTCAAAGGAGTTCACTATAAATTTATATTAGAAAGAAGGGCTATCTATGGATTAGTGATGAGAGTGTCATGCACCAGCAAATATGATTAATGAACTTAGGTTACCTGAGGTCCAAATAAATAATGAGAAAAAAGTAAATAAAAGTGATGCATGAATACTAAAAATTTGGAATTACATATATAATATGTAATAATAAAAAAAGAAAAAATTGTCACTGGTTATCCTTCAGGTATAAAAATTACAATTAAAATTGTAATGTTATAACCTTCCATTCTTTCCCCTATGAATTAAAACTTTTTTTTTTAACGAGACTAAAAAATCAAGTTGATAAAATCTATGCCCTGTGGGAACTGGTTAGGTCAGGCTACCCACTCCAGATTTCCAGCAGGCTGGCCTCAGCTCTACCTACAGCCAGTAGCTTATTAAGGCTCTAGGCGCCAGTGACACCTTCAGACAGGTGGTTAGTGCGCCCTAAGGACTCTCCGCAGCGTCGCTCAGGTTCACAGAACACGCCCAGGGGCGTGTCCAGCTGTCGTCGGGGAGAGCCCACCTCCCCGGGGGGTGTGGCTAAGGGACGAGGCAGTTCTCGTCCAGAGCCCAGGTAATCCGGGCGGGATCAGCTAGCGTCGCGATGTGATGACGTCAGGCCCCGGCCAGGCCGGGAGTGGCGTGCTGGGCGTGCGCGGCTGCGGTACGGCGTGTTGGTCCCAGCGGTTCAGCTGAGGTAGGGACGTGCTGTAGGCCGGAATGTTACCGGCTGTTGGATCTGTGGATGAGGAAGAGGATCCT
>NT_187372.1:0-40062 GCF_000001405.40 Homo sapiens | reverse complement strand
CGCAGGGCAGCCTTTCACAACACAGATATGTTAGGACATAAAGGTTCTTCTGTTTTTAATTTACTAGTGTTTATAGGGTTACAAATGTCTTCTACCCTTGTCTTTTGTCTGATGGTGCAAAAAATTTTCATAAGCATGTATTTCTGAATGCCTGATGGATTGACATATATAATATGCTGCTAGTATTAAAATATGTGACGGAAAACGCATCCAATCTTCTCACTGTTTACATAAATTCTAGGTTTCTCCTATTTACCTCAAGCACGTATGGAGCGAATTCTTACCTTTTAATATTGCCATGGCATTCACATTGAACATAAGTTGAACTCTCTCATATGGTAGCTGGGTTCAGATTCCCTTGACAATTTCCAATTCTAACCCTCACAGTTCCTCAGTGTGGCTGGCCTAGATATTGACCCTACACAGTTGCCTCCTCCTGGTGACTACCAGCTATGGAACCGTTGGATACAACCTACCTGACTCACCCCACAGACCTCACAGCGCACATGGACAGCCCCCACACGCCAGAGTGACCTGCTCGGTTGCAGCGGGAGTCAAGAAATGTGCCTGCTGGCACTCACCCCACAGACTAGTGCCCCGTGGAAAACTTATTTGGGTAATGTTCTGGGCCGAATGAAGGCTGGAGTCCCACAGACCCCTTTTCTCTCTCCTGCTCCCCACTCATCTTCCCCATTTTGTTCAGCCCTATGAGGTGTGCTACTGTATTAGTCCGTTTTCACACTGCTGGTAAAGACATGCCCAAGACTGTGTAATTTCCAGAAGAAAGAGTTTTAATAGACGCACAGTTCCACATGGCTGGGTAGGCCTCACAATCATGGTGCAAGGTGAAAGGCACGTCTCACATGGCAGCAGACAAGACAAGAGAGCTTGTGCAGGGAAACTCCCCTTTATAAAACCATCAGATCTTGTGAGACTTATTCACTATCAGAAGAACAGCATGGGAAAGACCTGCCCCCATGATTCAATTACCTCCCATCTGTTCCCTCCCACAACATGTGGGAATTCAAGATGAGATTTGGCTGGGGACACAGCTAAACCCTCTTCTCAGCTACCCTCTTCTCTCTGGATCTGTGAGTAATAAACCTACTTCTGTGATTTCCCATGTTTGGTTCTGTGGCCTCCATGGGTCTGAGCTGACCTACACTGGAACCTAACTCTCCTCCTGGCCAGGGTCTCTGAGAGTGGCTCTTGTCAGAAATACACAGGACACAGGTCAGGCAACAGTCACCAGGCATCTCCTAGTCTCAACAGATGTTCTGTGAGAGGGAGGCTTGGTCGTGGGATGCACATCTGGCCACTGCTGGGGTAAGGAAGTGTCCTGTGAAAGGCACATGTTAAGCATCCACAACCCCCTGACCAGAACCCCAGAAAGGCAGGGCTCCAATTCACAGTCACTCTCCAGAGACAAACCTCAAGCCCTAACTGGAGGAAAAGAAAACAATGTAAAAAGTTGAATTTATCTTACTATTTCAATGATCCAGTAAAGACATTCTATGCCTGTACACCACATATTTTCTTCGATTGTGGATTTATTTTAGATAGAATTTTATGTCTGGCTTTCACTTTAGCCTGGTCCCTACCTCAAGCATAAGGTAAAGATTTTCCATGGGTTCTTTTCTGATACTACTATCTGCCAGTGTGGGGTCATGTCCTAGTCTATCTTGAGGGAATCCCCCTGTTCATTATTGTCAGAGTGAGACTGTTAAGTCTTGATTTCCCTGGACAACTTCACTGCATGACTTTTAATATGATTTTTTAATATTCCCTTTACTGGACAATAAATTATATAGTTATCTGAGTAAGAGATATGGTCAGGAAGAGGCATTGCCTCATTCAGCTTTTCTCTTTGGTGAACTCGCATATGTTCTCCTCACCCGCCAGTCACCTCTAAACCGTATTGTTCCAAGACAACAAAGAGAACTCGAGTGTGTATCTTTCACCACTGGATTTGTGTTTGCTCCATAAAGCTTCATGCTTAATAGGGTTTCTGTTAGCATTTTCTCTGTTTATTTTCCCATAAAATATCACAGGCCTTTTTCATATGGAATTATGGGTGATTTCCTTCAATTTGCATCATATCAAGTTGAGGTTCATGTTGATGAAAAGTAAAACATACATTGAAAATATCAGTAATGATGTTTTCCCCTCCTTTTTAGCACCAGTGCTTGTGATACAAGCACATTTTAATACAATTGTAGTCTCATGCTTTGATCATTCCTATGATGAAAATAACATTTTTAGATAAAATATCTGAGTTTTATGAGGCCTTTAGTATGTGATGTGATAGAATATCAGAAGACCATACTTTTTTCTAGTTTTCTGTGCAATTCTATCATTGTTTCATCTTTACTCCTACCAGAGTAATTTTCCAAAATAGATATCTTGTCATTCTTCCTCTTGTTATCAGTAAATAAGTGAAATGAAAAGCTAGATTATATAATTTATCTAGAACAAGAAAGTAGAATTGAATCTACATTCATTAATGAGACTAACCAGTCAATTACACAGATAAGCATTTTACATGTTGAAGATCATATGGACCCATTGTCAGAAATATTATTATTTATGTCTATATGGACATCACCTGTGCATATTTACATAGAAATCAATGAGAGCTGATTTTTATTTTTATTATATATATTTTTTGAGATAGGGTCTTGGTTTTTTGCCCAGGCTGGAGTGCAGTGGTGCAATCACTGCTCACTGCAGCCTCAACCTCCCAAGCTCAAGCAATCCTTCCACCTTGGCCTCCCAAATAGCTAGGACATCAGGTGCACACCACCATGCCCACTTTTTATTTTTTTAACTTTTGATAGAGACTGGGTCTTGCTATGTTGCCCAGGTTGCTTTTGAACTCCTGGGCTCAAGGAATCCTCTCATTTCAGCCTCTTCAACTGCTGGTATTACAAGCATGAACCACCATATGGGCCGGAAGCTGATTTTTAAAATACTGAGATCATATAGACGACAACACCTGAAAAATAGACAACACCAAGCTTTATGTTAAAAGGTGTGAGGGTATCAATATTGTTGTGGCTATTGGGGAGGAAAACATTAGTAAAACCAGTGAGTTAAAGCTGTTGCTTTAAACTTTGGCTTTAATTTAACAAATGTTCTATGGAGTGACAGTATGTATGTAACCATGCTATGCCCATTCACAGATGCAGTAGAGGGAAGAATTTCTCAAAGACAACTGTTCTAAGACTCAAATTAAACCGTACTGGGTTTGAAAAGAGAAAGTCCAGGAATTACCAAATATTTTAGATATCAGATAAAAGAGAATGCCAGATATGCGATGATAATCAGCAATGGTTGTTCACACAATACATCAAATCAGTATTTGAATTAGCTTTTGAATTACAAGGACAAATGGACCAAGTCTAGACTCCTTAGTAGATAAATCTTATTAGGCTGAGATGTGTTTTCCCCTGTTTTTCCACAAGGAGATTACAAATTTGCAAACCTCAGCTGCTCTCATTTTATGCTCTCACCAAGCTAAAGCTGAAGTTCATCAATCAGTGTGTCTAAGTGTTCACTGGTTATATACCATTTTGTAGTTTCAGCTATCTTTCCAGCTTCCTAAATCATCACCTTCATTTGATCTTGTTTTTTTCCACTATCACTTCTTTATTGACCATATAAAGAATATGAGTTCTTATTTTGTTATTGTTCATTTTAGTCTAATTTCATCAAAATATCACAGTCTTTTAATTTCATTTTAATTTCAAAGATTAAATGAAACCTACATAGAAATGTGTGTAAGATTTGCATTTGCATTATTTTGGCATCAATTTGCTATCCTCCCTCATGCACATAGAGATCATTTCCACGTACGTGATTTCAAACATCCAAGTGCAGTATTAAAAGCAGTTGTAAATTATGGTTCTCATTTTCATGATACAATTACAATATAAACTTCCTCTTGCTGCTGTAACCAATTACCACAAACTTCATATCTTACAATAAAGTGACCGTTAATCCTACAGTTCTGTAGTTCAGAAGACTTGAATGAAACTCACAGGGCTAACATCAAGTTTTGGGCAGGGCTGCAGTCTTTCTGAGGGCTATGTGGCAGAATCTATTACTTGATTTTTTTCAGCATCCAGAGGCCACCTTTATTCCTTGGAACATGACCTCATTCTTATATCCTATTTTTCTTTTTTTTTTTTTTTTTTTTGAGATGGAGTCTCCTTCTGTCACCCAGGCTGGAGTGCGGTGGCATGATCTCAGCTCACTGCAACCTCTGCCTCCCGGGTTCAAGTGATTCTTCTGCCTCAGCTTCATGAGTAGCTTGGACTACAGGCACTTGCCACCATGCCCAGTTAATTTTTTGTATTTTTAGTAGGGATGGGGTTTCACCATGTTACGCAGGATGGTCTCGATCTCCTGACCTCGTGGTCCACCCACCCCAGCCTCCCAAAGTGCTGGGATTAGGCGTGAGCCACCGCGCTGGGTCCTCATTCTTGTATCTTAAAAGTCAGTGATGTTGAGTAATTTCTCATGCCACCACCTCCAAGGTTGCATTTCTTCTGTCTTCTTCTTTCACTTATAAGGAAGTTTGTGATTTCATTGATCCCACCCATTTAAGACAATCTCTCTATCATTTTTCCGCAACCTTAATTTCACTTGAAATCTAATTTCACACTGCCGTGCAACCTAACATATTTGTATGTTAGACTCTGGGAATTAGGACATGAAAATTTTGGGGAGGCCATTCTTTTGCCTGCAGCAGACATAATCTACTTACCTGCAGATTAAAGCGTTCTTTATTTTTCTGTCTCCCTCTCTTAATTTTTTAAAAATAATATGAATTGTAGTAAAGAGAAAGAAAAGAAAACAAAGAAAAAGAAGGAAGGAAAGAAGGAAGGAAATAAAGAAAGAAGAAAGAAAAGGAGGAGGAAATGAGGGAAGGAAGGGAGGGAGGGAGGAAGGGAGAAAGGCAGGAAGGGAGAAAAAAGAAAACATGAACACAAGAAAGAAGGAAGGAAAGAAAAGAAAGAAAGAAAGAGAAAGAAAGAGAGAAAGAGAGAAAGAAAGAAAGGAGGAAGGGAGGAAGAAAAGGAGGAAGAGAGAATGGTAAAAGGGAGGAAGGCAAAGAAACAAAGAAAATAAAGAGGCAAAGGAAGGAAGGAAAAAGAGGAGAGGAAGGGAGGGAGGAAGGAAGAAGAGGAGGGCGGGAGGAAGGGAGAAAAAAGGAAAGAAAGCAACAACGTGAGAAAGAAAGAAAGAATACGAGAAAAGAAGGAAGAAAAGGGAGGGAGAAAGGAAGGGAGGGAGGAGGGAAGGAAGAATAAGAGGAAAGAAAGAAAGAAGGAAAGAAGGAAGGAGAAAAAAGAAAAGAAAGAAAGGAAAAGAAAAAAGAAAAGAAAAGGAAGAGGAAAAGAAGAAAGGAAGGAAGAAGGCAAGGGAAGGGAAGAGAAGACAAAGGAAGATGGAAAGAAGGAAGACCGCAAACATTAGAAATTCTGTGTTTGTTAGAGAATATGCCATACTGTTTTTTTTTCACTTGAAAGGAAAGAGTAGCTGCCATTGAAGATTGGATGTCTTGTTGGTGATATTGTTGTTCTTATCTTCCACATGATTACTGAGTTTGTGCCTAGTCTTTCCATTACTAAGACAAAAGTGTTGAAGTCTGCAAATATAATTTTGGATTTTTCTAGTTCACCTTTGATTTCTTTCATGTTTTACCTCACGTATTTGGAGGCTCTGTTGTTAGCTGCATACCCTAATTAGTAGGATGTTTACATCTTCTTGAGAATTGATTATTCTATTATCTATTATCTCTCATCTCTGATACTATTTCTTGTTCCGAACTCTGTTGTGTCTAATATCAATGTAGTCCTTCCACAGCCTTATTTTAGTGTTTCCATGATATGGCTTTCTCCATATCTTGATGATAACCTATTTATATCTCTATATATTTGGAGCAAGATATAAAATTTAGACTTGATTTTTTAAAGATTTTTCAAGACGGAATTCTTATTTCTTTTTGTTCTATTTGACATTCTCTGAGTTTCCTATATCTGAAGTTTGATTTTCTGTCACTTCTTTTAGAATATTTTTGGCAGTTATTTTGAAATATATTTCTTTTGCTCCATTATTTTTTCCTCTTTTCTTTTTGGGATTTCAATCATAACTAGAGTAGGCAATTTCATCTCAGTCTTATGCAGGTACATTTTCTCAGGGTCTCAGGAATGTAGCCTTCTCACACTTCTGTTCTTTTCCTGGCTGTGTTGGTGAGCTCAGTGATATTCCTCCTTCACCTTTAAGAGCAGTTTTGTTTTGTTTTTCCTGTTTTCATACTCCCAGCATCAGGAGTATTCTAAGTGTGGCAGTTTTTGTTGCCTTCCCCTACATATTAAGTGGAATATCTTGGTCTATTTGGACCCTTATAACAAAATAACATAAACTGGGTGACTCAAAAACAACAGATATTTCTTTTTTCACACTTCTTGAGGCTGTAAGATCTCAGGTCAAGATGCTCACAAATTCAGTGTTGATGAGAGCCCATTTCATGGATCATAGATGGTGCCTTCTTTCTATGTCCTCACACAGTGGAAGTCACACAAGAACTCCATTGAGCTTCTTTTATAAAGGCACTAATCCCATTCATAAGGGCTCGGCCCCCAAGACCTGGTCACCTCCCAAGTGTTCTGCTCTCCCTGATCTGTGTCATATACAGACTCTCTTGGATTCCTTACCAATTGCTTGAGAGATCACAGTGGGTTTGTGGGGAAAAAGTTTTCAAGATGATGGATCTTTCCCAACTTCTGCAACTGTCAGCGGTCTCCCAATCTCACCAGCCCCACTTTGTCTTTAGGAATTTATTGATTATTCCAGCTTTACTTGTCATAGTGGTGTCTATTTGCATCTGTCCTACGTAAGTGCATCTGTCCTCTTTCTCCTTGCAGGTGCTTGTTTTCCCTCACATTTTGACTCAGTTCTTGGCAACCTGGTTGCTCTAAAAATAAAGTCATGACTTTGAAGTTAGTTTGGTTCTTTCATTGTTGTCAGGTTAGGAACCCTATTCCATCCCAGATCTCCAAAACCCAGACTTTTTGGGGGGTTGAAATGTTAGGCTTTCTCTTTGAATTGTAGTTTTATCTTCTTTCAGTTACCATTTGCATTTTCATAATGATTAATGAGACTAAGCTTTTTTTGTGTAGTTGACTGTACCTTTGGATTTTTTTCCCAAATACCTTTTTATTTCTTCTTTTCTTTATGGTTTTAGAAAATGTAGTTTACATAATTGCAGCTTGATTTGTTACTCAGTTAATGGCATGCTTAATGGAGAGAAAAAATATTAAATATATTTCCCTTTTTAATTACTGTGCTTTTTTCTTTTTTAAGGAAATGTTTCATTATGTTAAATTTCAATGTTATTCTACTTAGCTATTCCTTAAATATTATAATATTTTGGATTTCACATGTACATTTGTAACATATCTTGAGTTTATTATGTATAGAGTAAGGCTATTTTCTTTTTTAAGGTAAAAATCACATAATATAAAATTAATAACAACCATTTTAAAGCATACAATGCACTTGCTTTTAGTATATTCACAATGTTCCAGGGCAATTTCATCATGTCCCTTCCAAAAACCCATTATGCATAAAGTTGTTACACCCTATTCTGCTTCCCTGAGCCCTAACGACCACTAATTTAATTTATATCCCAATTGATTTGCCAATTCCTGATGTTTCATGTGAAAAAATCAAGTAATATTTGTCCTTTTGTGCACTTAACATAATGCTTTCAAATTTCACCCATATTATAACATATATAAGTACTTCATTCTTTGTTATAGCTGAAAATTGGGTGTCCATTTATGAGTCAACAAGCGTATGGATTGTTTCCACTTTTTGACTGTATGAATATTACTGCTGTAAATATTCATGCACATGTTTATTTTT
This sequence comes from Homo sapiens, assembly GCF_000001405.40. Lineage (NCBI taxonomy): Eukaryota > Metazoa > Chordata > Mammalia > Primates > Hominidae > Homo > Homo sapiens. The sequence goes on along the minus strand of NT_187372.1, from coordinate 32,127 downwards.
TGAGCGCCTATGTTTTGTAAGATTAACAGCTGACTTAAGAGAAACAATGGAAGGCAAGAGGCAGTAGAATAATATATTCAAAAGATGCAAAGGAAAAAAAACTCTCGGCCACGAATTCCTTATCCAGCAATTATTTTTCAAAAATGAAGATAACACAAAGACTTACCCAGATAAACAGAAATATTAACTGAAGTTGTTGCTGGCAGACCTACCACATTAAAAAAAAACGCTAAAATAAATTCCTAAGGCTAAAAGCAAGTCACAGAAGACAGTCACTTGAATCCACATTTTTAAAAAAGTACTGGTATAGGTAACATTGACATTATAAAAGACAGTAAAAATGCATTTTTTCTCTTTATCATAAATTGTTTATTAAATAACATGTGTATAATGGCCGGGCACGATGGCTCACACCTGTAATCTGAGCACTTTGGGAGGCCAAGGCGGGCGTATTACAAGGCCAGGAGATCGAGACCATCCTGGCTAACACAGTGAAACCCCGTTTCTACTAAAAATACAAAAAATGAGCCGGGCGTGATGGCGGGCGCCTGTAGTCCCAGCTACTCGGGAGGCTGAAGCAGAAAAATGGCATGAAGCCGGGAAATGGAGCTTGCAGTGAGCGGAGATTGTGCCACTGCACTCCAGCCTGGGTGACAGAGGGAGACTCCGTCTCAATGATAATAATAATAATATGTGTATAATGTATTGCTGAGTTTTTGACATGTAGAAATGTAATACGTCTATAACATATTTTCCAGTAACATCAAAAAGGAGGTAGTTGGAAGAAAAATGTATTGTGATAAGGTAATCACTCTAGATGGTAAAGTAATAATTACTAAAATGTATTGTTGGCTTTGTAACTTTAATAGATGTAATGTGTAAAGTGATAATACTTTAAAATGGAGGAAATAAAAGAGATTTATATAAGAATGATGTTTCTATGTATTACCAGAAGTTTATTAGTATAAATTGGAAGATGATTTGAATAATTAATTTTCCATATACCTATATGGTAAACTTACAACAACAACAAAAATTCTCAAAAATATATAATAAAATAATTCATTAGTAATCTAAAGTTCCCTATTTTAGAAAATATTCTTTCATTGCAAAATAAAGCAATAAAGAAAAATATTTGAGAAATATATAAAACAAACGGTAAAATGGCAGACATAAATAGAATTATACCAATTATAATCTTAAATGTGAGCAGATTAAAATCCATTCCAGAGGCAGAGATAGTCAGACTGGATTAAAACAAGTGATCCCAATATACGCTGAGATGCAAGGATACTAATGGATTGAAAGTAAAAAGATGACAAAAAATATCATGCAAAGAGCAATCATAAGAACACTGAACTCATTATACTCATAACACACAACATAGACTATTAAAAATGTGAATAGGATTTTAAAAATTTATATTGTAGTAAAAAGGGGGTCAACGCTTTAGGGAGACATAGCTATTACAATCATGTATGCACAGATATGAGCTAAATTGTTTCCTTTATATAGATGCTGAAATTCTAACCACTGAATATGACCTCATTAGAAAATAGGTTCTTTGCAGCTGATCAAGTTAAGATACAATCAGATGAGCCTGAATTCAATATGACTGATGTCCTTATTAAAAGAAGAAATTTGAGTAGAGGGAGACATACACACAGGGAGAGTACCATGTGATTATGAGGACAGAGATTAGCCAAGGAATGCCAAAGACTGCCACTAAACCATCAGAAGCGAGAAACAAGGCACAGAACAGGCTTTCTCTCATAGCCCTTGAAGGGATCATCCCTGCTGACCCCTCAATCTCAGACTTTTAGCTTCCAGGACTATAAGACTATAAATGTATTTTGTTCATGGCACCCAGTTTGTGTTACTTGGTTATGGCAGCCCTAGGAAACTAATACATGAACTAATAACAAAGCATAATAACATGAAGCAAAAATTGACAAAAGAGGAGCATCAGCAAAATGGCAGTGGAGACAGCTGCAATCTTTCATTTCCCCACAGAAACATCACACAACTAAGAGAAACTGTCCAAATAAACTTTGCCAAAACTCTGGAAAATAGTCGAAAGATTACAACAACCGAGTGAAAGCAGACTCAAGAAAAAGACAACTTGAAAACTTTATGACATTTTTAGCTTGCCTTTGCCCCAGCAAATTGGCAGTTTTGAAGTGTCAGAAGCCCACGTTCCCAGTGAGGAACACTGGTCCATGGTCCAAAGGAACAAGAGAAGATCTTACCCGCAAATTACTATGTGTCTGTTCTGACTGGTCTGGGGGATACCTAAAGGACTCATGAAAGGCTTTTGTTTTTCTGTGTTGCTAGAATACAGAACAGATAAGGAATGGACATTATCAAGGAACTCTGCAAGGAGACCTAACAAACCACAGATGCTTAGGGCAAAAATTAGAGTTTACACATATAGTAGATCACCTTCAGCACAGGAAGAAAAGTTGGAGAAGAGTATTTGGAAAACTAAGACATTCAAAATTATTCACGTACATGGGAGAGTCTAGAAAGTCACATGTATGCATAGGTTAAGCCACATGCTGACAAATGTCATCAGAAGACCCTACACTTTTACCTTGGCCGATCCCTCCCCTCAGTGCAAGCTCTGTGCAAGAGTGAACTTGAACTTCACTCAGTGCAAGAGTGAACACACACTTTGTGCCAGCTTTAAAGAACCCAGCACAAAGCCAGTCTGCATGGCCTAGAGGCATATTTTGCTGGACAATGATTACTTGTTTTTCTTTTTGTTTTTGTTGTATTTGCCTGTTTGCTTACTTCCTGACATACAAGAAAATCACTGTCAAAACATTAGCTTAACATTTGTTAAGGAAACAAAAAGACTTCGGTGACCACACCTTATAAAGCAAACAGTTTTGTAAATCACTTTGGAAAATTTCACTAAAAAAAAAATCCTTAACAATATAATAAGTAAAGAAAATTTAAAACCCCAAAACATTACTGTGTTTGTGGGGGAGGGTCTGATTTACAGAGTAACCACATAGTAATTATAATTATTATAATGCCCAGTTTTCAAAAAAAGTTACAAGGCATACAAAGAACGGGAAAGTATGGCTCATTCAAAGGAACAAAACAAACTGACAGAAAATATCTCTAAGGAAACCCAGACTTCAAACTTACTAGACAAAGACTTTAAGACAACTCTCTTAATTATACTCAAATGTCGCAAGGAAAGCATAAACAAAGAAATAAAGGATTCAGAAAAAATATTAAAAAGTAGGAATATCAACAGAGATAGCAGAAATTCTGGAGTGGAAAACTACAATGATAAAAATTTAAAAATCACCAGAGGGATTTAAGAGTATATTTGCACACACAGAGGAAGTCATGAGCTTGAAGATAAGAAAATGGAAAATATTGACTCTGAGAAACAGATAAAAAATGAGCAGAGACTAAGGAATCTGTGGGACATCATCAAATAGACCAACGTTCATATTCTAGAAGGATAAATTATGTTGTTGAAAACTTTAGCATTCTTTCTTTTCACCTTCCTCCCTCTTCCTCCTCCTTTTTACTTTTCTTCCTCTTCCTTTCTCTTCTTCTTTCTCTCCTTCATTATCCCTTTCGCTCTGTTTCTCTTTCTCCCTTTTTTTCCTTTTCTTTCAATTTTCTCCATTACTAAGAGATGTTTGAATACCCTTACCATGTGAGTTGATATGGTTATTTCTCCATTTAATCCTCTTTTGAGATTTATAGTCTCTCTAAGTAAAGAGATAACCCAAACATAAGCCTCACAAACAGGCTTCCATACCATTCTTAATTTGGTCCTGTAATTCTTCATTGCTGTATTAACTTTCTGATGCTTTTAAGGATGTTTTACAACAAATTGTTTAGTTTTTTCCACTGGAATGTTTATTCTCAATTATCTAATTCATACTGTAAGTATAGAGGGAGTTTAATATAAAATTATTAAACTAATATTTGTGAAAGAACGTATTTGTGCATTTAACAAATATGTTAATCCTCAGACTGTTATTGGGCAGCTGAGCATACAGCAATAAAAATAACATAATTTTTATGTGTACAATATTTATGGAATACGTTACTGGAACAAATAAATAATTTAGTTAATAACATGACAAAGAACAGAAATTGTATACACTATAGAGCATAGTAATGGAATAATGATTAAAGTTATTAATATTAGGTAGAAAATGAAGGGTATCTTTGAGAGCAGAACTCAAGGAAACAAGCAATTCGCCTTATGAGGAAAGAGTTACCTGTGGATAAAGGAGAAACTGAAAAATTTACAAGTCAAGACTTTTTGTGCAAAAACAAAAATATGATTATTAGTCACCAATTCAGTACAGTGAAAAAAAAGTTGAAGAGATATCTTGGAAGTAAACCATATTGTGGAAGAGCATGTAGGGTTTTGATAATCAGGGGATTATTCTGAATTAATTTTAAATGCGATAGGAATATATGAGATAACTTAACCAGAGAATAACATGATTGTGTTTGCATTTCAAAGGGGTGTATCTTGTGCACCGTGTAGAATAAATAGGTTTTGTGAGCAAATAAATTGGGAGGCTACTCTAATCCAGAGAAAAAAGGTAGTGACTTAGGTGAGAATGCTGTCAGGATGAGTGGTAGTAGTGGTGAGAAGTCATTAGGCCATGGATGTATTTCATAGGACTAGCCAAGAGAACTGCAGCTAAATTGGAGTGTAGGGAGTCAAATGGAGAACTCAAAGATGACTCTCAGCACTGGAAAGTGACACTGAAGTATGCTGATGCCTCTTATTAAGAGAGTTACTTGGGAATGGCAAGATCAAAACTTCTCACTAGCCTAAACGCTATTTTTTTTTAAAGCTCAGCCAAGAGACTCCATTATAATTTTCAAATGTGTGTAACTTAAATTCTCATATGAAATACCACTATGCTTAAATTAGTCAAAACATTTTCCCCATCTACAACTCTATCTTTTCATTGCAATCATTTTCACAAAAGTGACTGCAGCTCACAGACCCTAAAAGGAGAAAATCCAGGGTAGGTTATCTGATCTAGTTTTGAAGACAGGATCTAGAGATTATTTAATATGAAATAGGTCACCTGAAATGAAGTGTTTCCTGAAAACAGCTTGGATCAGCCCAGTTTTCTACCACTGAACCATGCATTTGGTTTAAAAAACACAACAACTCTGGGGAATATCGGCTGCTTCCAACTGTGTTGAAGGTGTTAAAGAAAAGAGCATAAAAGTAAAAATGATCATCTGAGGCCTTTATAGTCTCTGCTCAAGAGACTAGAGTCTTCCATTCTTAACGAAACACCCAAATATCTTAATAATTGGGCAAAATCTAAATATCAGAGAGATAATTTTATCTTGAAGATTGTTAAATTATAATGGTGATTCACTACCTTGCCACGTCTCTGAGTCAAAAATTAGGTCTTTGTTTAGGAATCAATGGTACTCTGCAACTTGGAAATAGGAAGATTTTAGAAGACTCAAACACTGACTTTCTTGTGTGCAAAAAAAAGATGTATTGAGTTAAGACAAGTCTTTCCTTGCAAGGATACCTCTAATGCTCATACACCACCTCCCCTAATGTTAATATAGCTTCCAGGTCAGTAACCAGTGTCAGAGAGCAGCCCATGCAACTACAAATTCAATAGATGTCGAACACAGGGTCAAGCCTAGAATAAGAAGTCTTAGCTAATTAAGTATGCTTTGTTCCCCAAATTCATATTAACAAAAACTTGGATATGTCAGAGAATGCATTCTAAGTTCACTCAACCTAGGAGGGAGAAACATAATTTTAAATTAAGAGCTGAAGCATTCTTGTCCTAACAAAAAGCAAGGAAAACGAAATATCACACCACAGGAGGGATTTCACAAATTAGTGTCAACATCAAAACCTTAAAATAGGCAAGGAAAATGCAGATTTACAATGAACTCTTGTACTTGTTTTGTTCAGAGAAGAGATGGTTCTGAGAGAATGACAGTGAACTAACCCCAGCTGGTTTAATTGATGCTTTCAACTGCTGCTTCTGATCAACTCCTTCAGCTAGAATAAATTGATGAGGATTTTGGCATGTGGTATTAGAGATGGTTATTAATTTTTTCCTCTTATTTGCATTGTTCAATGTAGTAAATACTAGCTGTATAGGGCTACTTCAATTCAAATTAATTACAATGAAATATACTTAAATATTGCATTTTTTAGTCACTGTTGGTTCATTATTGAATATCTTCAGCTAAGATTTCCCATCTAAATACACTAAGAGGTGGCTTAGTTAACTGGTCGTCCACAAATATTGACGCTGATGTTAACTCCTGATATATTCTCTGCAAATAGAATATTCATGAGCCTCCTCCTGAAATCAGCAGCCTAGAGATAGTTTTATAAATTGGATACAAGTTGGAAATCTATATACTCTTTCAGTTTTTGAAATATTAGCTTCCCAGGGAAGAAAATCAAATTCATAAGCTATGTTAGGACGATTTAACTCAAGATGTTCAAAACTGAAATGACGTATTCTACAATATGTGATAAAACCACCCCCTAACAACTTAAAGCAAAACAGGGATTGACCTTAAAGACCTGCCTTTTCCTCATCCCCCAATCAGTTTTCAAATCTCGCATTTTATTTCAAAAGGTCCTTATCCCCCTAGTCTCTTGTTTCTAGACTCGGCACATATTTAAGTTTGTTACCTCTATCTACTGACATTTTTCTCTTCGAACGGTATCTATGCCTGCCAAATGTGAATATACAAAAAACAAATCAGAATGTGCCATTCTGATTTAAACTGCTTATTAGTTAAAACCCTCAAGATAACATCTGGGTTCTTGGCTGCAATGAGTCAAGCCTACTTACATCTTTTTTTGTCTTTGGCTGCACATTTCCTATCACATCACACTCCAGCAAAGCCAAGCTGTGCCGGCCTTCTACCCCATCTCCACTATCTTGCCCCGCGTCGCCGCGGCTTTTTGACCCTCATCACAGCGGCTCTTTTGCCCTTCGCCGCCGCGGCTTTTTGTTCTCCGCCGCCGCGGCTTTTTGCCCCAACCACCACCTCGGCTTTTCCCCCGCCGCCGCGGCTTTTTCCCCACCGCGGTTTTTTGCCCCCAACCGCCGCCTCGGGTTTATGCCCGCCACGGCTTTTAGTTCCCTGCCGCCGCGGCTTTTTGCCCGACCCGGCTTTTTGCCCCCTACCCCCCCGCCACCCGCCGCCGCCGCGGCTTTTTGCCCCCCGCCGCCACCGCGGCTTTTTGCCCGCCGCGGGTTTTTGCACCCCCACTGCCGCGGCTTTTTGCCCGACCTGGCTTTTTGCCCACCCCCGCTGCCGCGGCTTTTTCACCCCCGCCGCCGTGGCTTTTTGTCGCCGCGGCTTTTTGCCCCCCCCGCCGCCGCCACGGCTTTCTGCCCGCCGCGGCTTTTTGCTCGACCTGGCTTTTTACCCCCCCACCGCCGCGGCTTTCTGCCCCCCGCCGCCGTGGCTTTCTGCCCCCCGCCGCTTTTTACCCCCGCCGCCGCCGCGGCTTTTTGCTCGACCCAGCTTTTTGCTCCCCCCTCCGCCGCGGCTTTCTGCCCGCCGCGGCTTTTTACCACCCGCCGCCGCCGCAGCTTTTTGCTCCCCCACCGCCGCGGCTTTTTCACCCCCGCCGCCGTGGCTTTTTGCTCGACCCGGCTTTTTGCCCCGACCGCCGCCGCGGCTTTCTGCCCGCCGCAGCTTTTTACCCCCCGCCGCCGCCGCCGCCGCCGCCGCCGCCGCCGCGGCTTTTTGCTCCCCCGCCGCCGCGACTTTTTCACCCCCGTCGCCGTGGCTTTTTGTCCCCCCCACCGCCGCGGCTTTTTGCCCCCCGCCGCCGCGGCTTTCTGCCCGGCCGCAGCTTTTTACCCCCGCCGCCGCCGCGGCTTTTTGCTCGACCCGGCTTTTTGCCCCCCGCCACCGCCGCGGCTTTTTCACCCCCGCCGCCGCGGCTTTTTGTCGCCGCGGCTTTTTGCCCCCCGCATCGCCACGGCTTTTTCACCCCCGCCGCCGTGGCCCCCGCCCGGTTCCGCGGTTATTTGACAGCCGCGGCTTTTTGCACCCCCCCACACCCCCCCCCCCCCCCGGTGCCGCGGTTATTTGCACGTCGCGACTTTTTGCACCCCCGCCGCCGCGGCTTTTTCCGCGCCACGGATTTTTGTCCCCCGCTGCCGCGGCGTTTTGCCCCCCATCGCCGCGGCTTTTTGCCCCCCCACCATCGCGGCTTTTTGCGCGCCTCGGCTTTTCGCCCCCTGCCGCCGCGGCTTTTTGCCCGACCTGGCTTTTTGCCCGACCCGGCTTTTTGCCCCTCGCTGCCACGGCTTTTTGCCCCCCGCCGCCGCGGCTTTTTGCCCACCGCGGTTTTTTGTCTCCCCGCCGCCTCGGGTTTATGCCTGCCCCGGCTTTTTGCCCTCCGCAACTTTTTGGCGCCCCGGGTGCCGCGGTTATTTGCCTGCCGCGGCTTTTTGCACCCCCGCCGCCACGACTTTTTGCCGCCCGCCGCCGCGGCTTTTTGCCCCGCCGCCGCGCCTTTCTGCCCGCCGCGGCTTTTTACCCCCCGCCGCCGCGGCTTTTTGCCCACCCCCGCCGCCGCGGCTTTTTCACCCCCGCCGCCGCGGCTTTTTCACCCCCGCCGCCGCGGCTTTTTCACCCCCGCCGCCGTGGCTTTTTGTCGCCGCGGCTTTTTGCCCCCCGCCGCCGCGTCTTTTTGCTCCCCCGCTATGGCGGCTTTTTGCGCCCCACGCCCCCCCGCCCCGTGCCGCGGTTATTTGCCCGCGGCGGCTTTTTGCACCCCAGGCGCCGCGGCTTTTTGCCCCCCGCCCCCGTGGCTTTTTGCCCCATGGCCATCCTCAGAAGCGTGAGTGGAACAGAGTGAAGGGAAAGCTGTTTTCTTCGAAAGCTCAAAAATCTTGAACTTTCAAATAGGGATAAGTGTTATTTTTGCTCCAAGCACACATTTGAGAAATCTTCCATTTAGCGGATATGATGATAAACCCACATTTTTTGTTTTAATCTGAAAATGTATTTGTATGGTTCTTGGAAATATTTTTTTTGCATATAAAATTATAGTTTATCATCTTATTTCAAGTTTTATTTACCATTTGATAGTTACTCCTAAAATGTCATTGATTAAAGAATCATCTATTGCTCCAACTGCTCTTTACTAAAGGTAATTTGTCTTTTTAACCTCATCAGGCTCCTTTTAAGCTCTCAAACTGACCTTATATTTTTTTACAGATTGAATGCATTAAGTCCATTTATTATTTATGATGAATTTATTTATGTATTTATTTTCGCTATCACAAGTAGAAAAAGCCTATAAGTTGCTATGCCAAAAACCTGCCTCTAGATGGCAAACAAACCCCGCAATACACAAAAGAGAGCCAAATTCTTAGAAACCCTGGGAAAGGAAGAGGGCTACTGTCCCATTAACAACTTGGAGCCCTTAAGGCAAGAATGAGGTGGACCATCTGGAACATCTGGGAGGAGACACCAGGGTGCGGAGTAGTGGGGAACCTGCTCTGTGCTCTGAGACTGAAAGCCCAGCCTTGCCTCTCACCACTGCCTTGACTGTGTCCCCATCTGCTGTGAAGTGAATGGTGTCTTCTAAATTCATGCTGAGCCCTAATTGCTGAAAAGTGTAAGACATGCAATGGGGGGATTATGTGCATCTTCCTGACACCAACATGATGCTCAGGAAGGAGACTTCTTGTTTTCTCTTAGGATTCTTTTACTAACCAAGATTTTGCCTCTACTGCATATTTCCCTTTGCTGATTGTCCCTCCCTTTTGACAGAAGATGGCCCAGGGCATTCACTACTAAGTCTCAACCTCTTACCCAAAGCCCTCAGTCTGGTGTTGCTCTTTCCTTCATGCTATTTTTGTTTCTTTTCTTGTCATCATCTTGGCAATAAAATAGTCACTTTTTTCTTTCTACCTATTAAAGATGTTACCTTAGTTAATTACAGTGGTTTCCTTCAGAATGATAAATGGTCTTTCAAAATGATGTAAAGAGATCTAAATCCGTGTGCTCCAGAAGTTGAATGAAGCTCTGTCTAGCATGGGTGCCAGTGACTCTCCCAGAGTGCTCCATGCAGCTGGACCCACGGAGTCCCTCTGTGCTGTCATATCACCCACTGCCTTCTGTGAATGAGATATTCTGATTGGAATCCTGGTGGATGCTATTTGAGCCATGCCCCCACAACTCCTATGAAAGCCGAGGACCACAGGCCCCTGAAGACAATCACAGGTCTCTAGACTCACAGCTCATGACCGTCCTCTGCAGACACAGCTTCTCCCCGGATGGCTGAGTTTTGTCATTGGCTGTGTCCTTCCTTGTGCATGACAACAGGAGACATAGAAGGTCTGTAAGCAGCCCTGCAAGCCAGGTTCTGAGCAAGCCCTCCTGTGTGAGGCCCTCTTACCTGGACATAGGTGTGTTAACCAAAAATGAAACTCTAAGCTCCCTAACCAACTGAATGAACTCCTCCTCTCAGCCAAGGACACACCAAAATCAACCTGAAATACAATACAGTCCATGATCGGAACGGATGATTGGATATGCCTTAACTTACCCTCTTCCCTTTAAAATTCAGGCAGAACTGACCAGCTTTTAATATGAAGACAGAGACCTTGAGACTGACAAAGAAAACTCTTTATAGCAATAAGATACCAATGTGACAGATACCACGTCCTAAGAGAAATCAAAGTATTTTCCCCAAGATATTGTTATTTAATGTATTTAAAAATGCCTCTGCAAAGCTGGTTCTTGTGGGAAAAATCTAAATTCTGTAGAGATTCCTTTTTAAGTCTCTTTCCTGACCCAGAGAGATTTAACTAAGAGTTTGGCACCTTTTAAGTCTACTAAAAAACAATTACAATCTATTCTCTCTGAAGCCTGCTACCTGGAGGCTTCATCTGCATGATGCAACCTTGGCTCCAAAACCCTTTTTCTAAACCCAGAAACTCCCTTGTGTTGATTACAGGTCATTAGATAAACTCTTTCAACCACCTATGAAATCTTTGAATCCACCTATGACCTGGAAGTCCCCAATATCCCCCCTCCTTCGGGCTGTCCTGCCTTTCAATATCAAAGCAATGTACAGCTTACACGTATTGATTGATATCTTATGTCTCCTTAAAACGTGTAAAACCAACCTGTAGCCCGACGACCTTTGACACACGTTCTCAAGACCTCCTGAGGCTGTTTCACTGATATTTCTTTAACTTTGACCAAATAAATTTCTAAACTGATTGAGACTTTTCTCAGATGCTTATTTGTTTATAGGTATCACTGGATACACTTAAGGAATTGAAGAGATTTATGACATTGAGAAAAGGAGGAAGCCAGGGTGTGTGGAGAGAGAGAGAGAGAGAGAGAGAGAGAGAGAGAAAGAGATTGTGATGTATGTACAGGACTAACACTGAGACCTAGTTATGTAATGGTGTAGTAATGAGTATCATCCCCAAATAGTGAGGTTTCATTCCAAGAAGACTATGCATGTATCTCATTTGGGAAAACAGCTTTTGCAGGTGTAAATTAAGGAGCTTGAAACAGGGAGATGGTCTTAGATTAATCAACTGGGACTTAAATGCAAACTCAAGTGTCCTAATAAAAACAAGAGGTAGAGAGACATTTAGCATAGACTGAAGTGGAGAAGGCAGTGTGAACACAGAGACAGAGATTGCAGTGATGTGTCCACATCCCGGGAGAGAGAAGCCACCAGAAGCTGGAAGAGCTAAATCAGACTGCTCCCTAGAGCTTCAGAAGGAGCCAGTACTGATGACTCCAAGATCTTAGCCCAGTGAAACTGATCTGGACTTCTGAACTATGAGAGATTCCATTCCTGTTGTTTGAAGCTACCACATTTTTGAGAACTTGTTACAGTAGCCCGAGGACACTAACACAAATGGGGCTCTGGGAAAATCCAGACTAAAGGTGTTGTGTTGGTTTGCAATCTCCTTGCTTAACTTTCTGATACTAGACGTAAATAGATTGGTGAAAAATTTTGTGATTGAAGAAATGTACATGAAACCTACAGTGTACAGAGAAGCATCTGTTAGTTATAAGATAAATATTGATAATTTTAGTTGAAAATGACATATGACTGTTAATATCTCACATAACATTCTGAGTTACTCAAGAATGCAATGCATAAAAGGGACACTAGATACTCTTCTCATGTATGTGTGTGTGTCTGTCTATACATGTATGTACACTTCATGGTGCATCAGCTGGCGGAACCCTCAGGACACCCCTTCACATCCTCAGTGCCCCATTTCACACGTGAGGAAACTGTTCATGACAGCACATGGCTGATTTGCATAAAAATCACTTGGTCAGCAGTTGTTGAAGCTGAACTTGGAATCTAGGTCTGTCTGACCTTAACTATGTTCCTTCCACAGAGCCACGTTCATTCCATAGAGGAACCCACCACCTATAAAACCAGAAAAGAGACAAAGCCAGAAGTGCAGGGTGGATTTCTTAACACAAGCTCACTGCGACCTCTACTCCTCATCACGCTGACACTAAGCTTAAACCCAGACCCTTCTACAGTTTTGTCTACAAAGCACAATTTGCCCAAAGCCTTTACAAACACCAACAGCCTTTCTTTCAGATATGGCAGCAGGGTCACATCTTACACGGCCCTGACCACATTTTGTCTCCTCTGCCATCCCCATCTCTCTGACTCAGTCCTCGCTTGCAGCCATAAAAAAGGATGAGTTCATGTCCTTTGTAGGGACATGGATGAAGCTGGAAACCATCATTCTCAGCAAACTATCACAAGGACAAAGAAACCAATCACTGCATGTTCTCACTCACAGGTGGGAATTGAACAATGAGAACACATGGACACAGGAAGGGGAACATCACACACCAGGGCCTGTCGTGGGGTGGGGGGAGGGGTGAGGGGGGAGGGATAGCATTAGGAGGTACACCTAATGTAAATGATGAGTTAATGGGTGCAGCACACCAACATGGCTCATGTATACATATGTAACAAACCTGCACGTTGTGCACATGTACCCTAGAACTTAAAGAACAATAATAATAATAATAATAATGGGTCTTGTACATCTAATTTGCCCTACAAATGTTAAAACAGCAAACCCGCATCCCCTTCCTCTTCTCATGTGCTGTGAGGGATGACCTCCAGGCTCTCAGATACCAAGATTGTACAAGACCTAACCCAGAGAATTACTCAAGACACTTTCTACGTAAGAAGAATTGTGGTGCTAGCTCTCCTCATAGAAAAATGTTTTCTGTCTCTTGTTGAAATTGACAGCAAACACAAAAACACAGAACTATTTGGGAGAACAGAGGACAGTGATACACTAGGGAAGTAAAACACACCCCTTCCCCTTGCATTGGTTTCCTGTTGCTGCCGTAACAAATTACCACAACCTTACTGCTCCCCATAACACAAGTGTATTATCTTACATTTCTGGAGGTCAGAAGTCTCAATGAAGTAAAATCAAGGAGTAATAGGGCTCTATTCATTCTAGGCTTCAAGAGAGAGAATCCAATATCGAGCATTCCATCTTTCTGATGTTCCCACATTCCTAGCAGCATGGCCCCTTCCTCCATCACTCCAGTTTCCCTGTCCGTTGTCCCAGGTCCTCTCTGGCTGTTACCTTCCTCCTTCCCTATTATAAGGACCCTTGTGATTATGATGGTCTCACCCAGATCATTCAGGATACTCTCCTGACCCCCAAATTCTCAACCATGTCTGCCAAGTTATTTTTGACATATTCATAAGTAATGATCATAGATTCCAGATATTAGGACAATGATGTCTTTAGTGGGTGTATTATTCATTCCACAAACAACCCTCATCATCCACACAATGGTCTTCCCCTAAGGTAGAATAAAAATATCACAAGGCAGATTTACGAGGCGATCGACCTAGAAAAAACCTGAGAATCTAGGACTGTCTGATGTGTGGATGTCAAATCCTGGGAGATTCTGAGTCTCTGCTCTATGTGGACTCTATGTTGTGTAGCCATTTGTGGAAGGCTTCTGTGATTTTGTGACCTAGAGAAAATGAATCTCTGCTAAAATCGAATCTAAGAAAGATTGGCAAAGGGAATTTAAAGATTTCCTAAATTTTTGGAATTTCCCTATGCATTAAAGCATGAGAAGTGGCAATAATTCAAACCAATGATGCCCTCCAAGAATGAGGATTTTTCCAATGCATTAGGTTGGGTCCCCTCAGTGAGAAGGATGCCAAAGATTCGCATGCAGGCAGTATATTTACAAAGGGCGGGAAACAAGCAAATGAGCAAGGGAGGGGAGGAGGGAAAGGGAAAGTGAAAGGTGCCTCAGAAGGAGCCACCTCTGAGGATGACGAGAGCTCAAGCCCACATAGAAACACAGGAAAAATGCCTCTGTTATTCCACCTGAGAGGTGAGGGAGCTGCGGGATGTGTACACCTCCCTTGTCATCACTGATTGACAGCCGTCCTAGGGGATGCTAATTCCAGGCCATGAGGTCTGCCTCATTTGCAGCCTGAGCTGCTTCCCCAGGTTCAGACAGAGCAGTGAAGGGGAGAAAGGGCCATAGAGAGTCAGCTGAAGTATAATGACTAGAATCCCCAAGGCATAGTAACAATGACTGCTAAAATTATGCACAAAGAAAAAGCGCATTTGAATCCAGAGATGTATCTCTCTGAATCTGGATATATGGATCCTGGCAGCCTGTTCAGTAGCCATTTCCCAGAAATCCAGTTCTCTGGAAAAGCAGCAGGAGGTTTGTGCACAGGCTGCACTACCTTGGTCTAGCCACTGGTAGTCGTGCATGAGAACTACTCCCTGGAGTATTTCTCAGTCCACTGACACTGATGTAATTGGCTCCACTTCCCCTGCTGTTGAGCCAGGCCGACACGCCCTGGGCAAAGGCATCTGTGTGAAGTATTGAGGTTCAAATCAGTGCTTAAGATATGTTTGGAGGCAAAATACTTTTTCATCTACATGGGCAGTGTCTTGGCAGAAGATGGAGATTCTCTCTAAATGGATGTGAGACAGGTGGCTGGCATCTGGGTCAGGACGATGCCCTGGTGCATGGCAAGAAAATGCATTGGGCAGCAGCTGCCCTCGCTAAGGAGAGAGGTTCACTGACCTGGCTTTTCCCCCCTCACCTGCTCTCCAGAAAGCCAGACTCTAGGGCAGATGCTCCTGAGACCCCAGGAACAGGCTGGTGGGGAGCGCAGCTCAGAGCATTACTCAGGGGATGTGGCCTTTGTCATCCTACTTTGAAACAATTGATTATTTGAGCCTAGATTGATAGAGGGCTTCAAGTTGATTTTAATCCTGGCTCCTATAGTCCGCGAGTGAAACAGAGATTTTGAAATAATGAGACCTGGTATTACTAGTCAGCTCTCCATGCTGGAGAACCATAAGAAATTATACCAAAGGCAGGAAAGGGGATAGAATATGGGGATCATCACGCCAAGAATAAGGTGCAGCCCATTTAGCCCCTGGGTCTTAAAGAGACCCATAGCTCTGGATAATGGCAGATCTATGCGTGACACATTATCATCTTTGTACATCTTCAGAGAATTGTTTTTGCTTTTACTCCTAGGAACAATGTCTTAAGTTTGTTAGTAAATTCTATTGAATTTATTAAAGATGCTTCTGATAAATTCTTTTTATATTCATTTCAAAAAAGAAGCAATTTCACACTGACAGAGACATTGTTATTATAGCACTAAATACTTTTACACTCATCAAATTCCTTTGAGACTAACTGAAATTTCTGACAGCCCCACACTCTATAACTTTATTGTAAATTTTCTGCCAAAAATGATGCTTTCCTATACACTCTTAATACAAGTATAAATATATTATTTAATCTAGTCTTAGGTTGATTTAAAATTTTGAAAATTCACTCCAAAAATATGTTCTGTAACCATATGGCCACCAATGAGAAGTGTACTCTTTCAAGGTAAATCTGTGCTGCCCTGGTCTGACCTGGGACTCTGGGGATACTGCGCCCGTGTGCTGAGTTACTGAGATGAGCCAGCCCTGCAGCTGTGCTCAGCCTGCCCCATCCCCTGCTGATTTGCCTGTTCCTAGAGCACAGCCCCCTGCCCTGAAGACTTCTTATAGGCTGGCCACACCTGGTGCAGGAGTCAGCCCCAGTCAGGACACAGCACGGACGTGAGGGCCCCCACTCAGCTCCTGGGGCTCCTGGGGCTCCTGGGGCTCTGGCTGACAGGTAAGGAAGGAGAACACTAGGATTATACTCGGTCAGTGTGCTCAGTACTGTCTGGAACTTCAGGGAAGTCCTCTGATAACATGATTAATTGCAAGAATATTTGTTTTTATGTTTCTAACTTCAGGTGCCAGATGTGACATCCAGATGACCCAGTCTCCATCCTCCCTGTCTGCATCTGTAGGAGGCAGAGTCACCATCACTTGCCGGGCGAGTCAGGGCATTAGCAATAATTTAAATTGGTATCAGCAGAAACCAAGGAAAACTCCTAAGCTCCTGATCTATGCTGCATCCAGTCTGCAAAGTGGGATTCCCTCTCGGTTCAGTGACAGTGGATCTGGGACAGATTACACTCTCACCATCAGCAGCCTGCAGCCTGAAGATTTTGCAACTTATTACTGTCAACAGAGTGACAGTAACCCTCCCACAGTGTTACAAGTCATAACATAAACCCCAAGGAAGCAGATGTGTGAGGCTGGGCTGCCCCAGTGCTCCTTCTGGTGCCTCTATCTGCTGAGGGAAGTTCTCAAACTCAGTCAGGTTTGGAAAGTCATCGGGAGATTTTCCTAGAGGAGGCCAGGGAGGTTCCTCTGAACGCTAAGCCTCTTTTGCCCTCATCCCCAGCAGAAAAGACGTGACAATGCCTGTCCTGACTGAATAAAGAAGAGAGATAAGTCCAGCTGAGGAGTCTGTGTTATGGGATAATTGGAATTTGTACAGCAAAAGAGAAGCTATTCTCAGTATTTCAAGGAGAAATTATTCAAGTTGAATAAATTAGAGTCTAAACCACAGTCTTTCCGAAGCCTATGGAGTGTTATTCATGAAGCAGGTACTAGACACAGGGGATTCTCAGGTGCTACTTCAGAAGCCAGGATGCACCTGCCCCTGGTGGTATGTGCTGAACACCGTGTGATGATCCTCAGTCCTGTCTGGGAAGCCCAGGGCCGGGGGTGCTGATGCTCTCAGCTGCCTGCAGCACATCTCCAGGTGATTCTCCAGTCCACACCTAACTGCATGTGTTTTACTTCAGGTGTCAGTGTACATGAATCCACCACTCTGACTTCCCAATCTCATGACAGTAATTAGTTGTAACTTATCGTAACCTCATGGAGCAACTCTAAAGAAACCATAGAGAGAAAAGGAGTTTTGGAAAATGTGCTCCGGGAAGTGATAGTAATGATGGGGAATTGACAGCTGACGGGGAAGTAAGGTGACTCTTTCCACAAGGCTCAACATTTTGCCAGTTATGAATTGTTGTAAAATACATTTGAATGTGCTTTCAAGTACTACCAGTTTGGGGTCATAGCTGAAAAACTTTATTAAGTCACAGATAAAATGGGAAAATCAGGAATATTTTATATTGTATGAAATATACAATAACACTGTGTGTGATGGCTCAGGTCTGTAATCCTGTGATAGTTAATACTGATTGTCAACTTGATTACATTGAAGGATGTAAGCATTGCTCCTGGGTGTGTCTGTGAGGGTGTTGCCAAAGGAGATTAATATTTGAGTCAGTAGTCTGGGGAAGGCAGACCCCCTACTTAATCTATGGGCACCATTTAATCAGCTGCCAGTGAATATAAAGCAGGCAGAAAAAAGTGAAAAATTGAGTCTGGCCCAGCCTCCCAGCCTACATCTCTCTCCCGTGCTGGATGCTTCCTACCCTTGAACATCGGACTCCAAGTTCTTTAGTTTTGAGGCTCGAGCTAGCTCTCCTTACTCCTCACTCCTCATGCCTGCAGACAGCCTACTGTGGGACCTTGTGATCCTGTAAGTTAATATGTAATAAACCCATATATATATATATATATATATATATATATATATATATATATATATATATATATATATATAGAACTTATTAGTTCTGTCCCTCTAGAGAACCCTCATTAATACAGATTTTGGTACCAGGAATGGTTCTGCAGGATCAGAATATTAAGGTTGGAGTTCTTCTGTTGGTTTTGGGGTTTCTGGATTTGGCTGCTAAATATGATTAGATCCCAAAATGCTAAGGACTCTACTTTTAATAGTGTAGAGAATATTGACAGTTCTTGGCATGAAAGGTTTAAAGAGCTACGCAAAACAAATTCATTTGACACTAATGAATCATCGCTCATGAGAGGCAAGGAGTTTAGTGACTCTGTACCTAATACCCTTGACAAACACCTTGCAAAATAGATTTGTGAGGACAGCACCTGCATCTTTGAAGAGCCCTGTAAAGGCTCTTCTCTGTATGTCAGATCTAATGGTGAGAACTGCAGTCACTCAGTTACAAAAGTTAAATACAATTTGGAATAATTGGATCCTGAAGTGGCAGGGGCCAAGTGGTAGCACTCAACCCTCAAAGGCACGGTGGGCATAGCTACCGTAATGGGCAGAAAAGACAAAGCAGCAATCTGAACAGTCTGACTCATGTAGAGCTCTGGCATTGGCTAACTAATCACAGTGTTCCTGGAAGTGAAACTGACAGGAAGACTAATGCATTCCTACTTAATTTATGTAAGGAGGAAACTTAAGGTCAAACAGATAAAAGACTAACTGGAATCATAAAAACAGAGATTCATGGCCCCTCAATCAATTTCCAGCCTTGAGCCAGTTTACAGACCCAGAACCCCTTGAATGAAGGGGAGGCTGGGTCCCCCTGAGGTGTCCATGGCAGATAGGAATGCTGCTTTGAGGCTTTGGCAGGCCTCCATAGGTGAATCATGGTGGAGGCCTCTAGTATTTTGCAGCAAGGCCCGGTCATCTTCTCCAGTTAACTACTCTCCTTTTGAGAGACAGCTCTTGTCCTATACTGGGCTTTTGTGGAAACTGAACATTTGACTATGAGTCAACAAGTCACTATGCGACCTGAACTGCCTATCGTGAACTGGGTGCTTTCTGACTCATGTAGCCATAAAGTGGGTCATGCACAGCAGCATTCCATCATCAAATGGAAATGGTGTATAAGTGATTGGGCTCAAGCAGGTCCTGGGGGGCACAAGTAAGTTACATGAGGAAGTGGCTCAAATGCCCATGGTCTCTACTCCTGCCACCCTGCCTTCTCTCCCATGGCCTGCACTGATGACCTCATGGGGACTTGCCTTTGAGCAGTTGACACAGGAAGGGAGGACTAGGGCCTGGTTCACAGATGGTTCTCCACAATAGGCAGGTACTGCCCAAAAGTGGACAGCCGAAGCACTACAGCCCCTTTCTAGGACATCCCTGAAGGACAGTGGTGAAGGACAATCTTCCCAGTGGGCAGAACATTGAGCAGTGCACCTGATTGTGCACTTTGCATGGAAGGAGAAATTTCCAGATGTGCGGTTATATACTGATTCATGGGCTGTAGCCAATGGTTTGGCTGGATGGTCAGGGACTTGGAAGAAGCATGATTGGAAAATTGGTGACAAAGAAACTTGGAGAAAGAGTATGTAGATGGACCTCTCTGAGTGGTCAAAAACTGAAGATATTTGTACCCTGTGTGAGTGTTGACCAACAAGTGACTTCAGCAGAGGAGGATTTTGATAATCAAGTGGATAAGATGACCCGTTCTGTGGATACCACTCAGCCTCTTTCCTCAGACACCCCTGTCATTGTCCAATAAGCCCATGATCATAGTGGCCATGGTGGCAGGGATGGAGGTTATGCATGGATTCAGCAATGTGGACTTCCACTCACCAAGGCTGAACTGTCTGTGGCCACTGCTGAGTGCCCAATTTGCCAGCAGCAGCAGAGACTAACAGTGAACCCTTTGTATGGCATCATTTCCTGGGGTGATCGACCAGCTACCCGGTAGCAGGTTGATCATATTGGAACTCTTCCACCATGGAAAGGAGAGAGGTTTGTCCTCATTGGAACAGGCACTTACTCAGGATATGGGTTTGCCTACCTGCATGCAATGCTTCTGCCAAGACTACCATTTATGGACTCAAGGAATGCCTTATCCACTATCACGGTATTCCACACAGCATTACCTTTGACCAAGCACTCACTTTACAGGTAAAGAAGTGAGGCAGTGGGCTCATGCTCACGGAATTCACTGGTCTTACCATATTCCCCATCTTCCTGAAGCAGCTGGATTGATAGAATGGTGGGACGGCCTTTTGAGGTCGCGATTACAACATCAACTAGGTTGCAATACTTTGCCGGGCCGGGGCACCATACTCCAGAAGACCATGTGTGCTCTGAATCAGCGCCCAATGTATGGTATTGTTTCTCCCATAGCCAGGATTCACAGATCCAGGATTCAAGGGGTGGATGTGAAAGTGGAACCACTCACTATGATGCACTAGCAAAATGTTTGCTTTCTGTTCCCACGACATTAGGTTCTGCTTTACTAGTCATCTTAACTCCAGAGGGAAGAACGCTGCTACCAGGAGACACAATAACGATTCCATTAAACTGGAAGTTAAGATGGCCACTTGGATGCTTTGGGGTCCTCCTACCTTTAAGTCAACAAGCTAAGAATGGAGTTACAGTGTTGGCGGCAGTGATTGACCCAGACTATCAAGATGAAGTCAGTCCGCTACTCCACAATGGAAGTGAGGAAGAGTATGCATGGAATATAGGAGATCCATTAGGGCGTCTCTTGGTATTATCATGCACTCTGATTAAGGTAAATGGGAAACTATACCCAATCCAGGTAGGACTACAAACGGTCCAGATCCTCTCCGGGTCACAACCTGCTGAGGTGCTTGCTGAAGGCAAAGGGAATACAGAATGAATAGTGGAATAAAGTAGTTATCAATACCAGCTACAACCACCTGACCAGCTGCAGAAATGAGGACTGGAACTATCATGAGTATTTCCTTCTTTTGTTAAAAACATGTTTGTGCATGTATGCACTTGTACTAAGAAAATATCTTCATTTCATTTCCCTTTTCTTTATCAGGTGACATAGATTTGCTGACCTCATATCAGCATTTAAGTATTGTTTACTTTATGTAAGAGTATTTGGGTTGGGGATGGGTGCATTTCCAGTTGTAGGAAGGATAGTTTATTATGTTAGGGGTAATTATGACCTTACTATTGTCTGTATTTTAAGATTATGTATGATCTCAGGAGATGTGTGTGGGTTCAAGTTCACAAGGGGTGGGCTTGTGATGGTTAATAATGAGTGTCAACTTGATTGGATTGAAGGATGTAAAGTATTCATCCTGGGTGTGTCTGTGAGGGTGTTGCCAAAAAAAATTAACATGTGAGTCAGTGGGCTGGGAAAGGCAGACCCACCCTTAATCTTTGTGGGCACAATCCAATCAGCTGCCAACCCAGCCATACTATAAGCAGGCAGAAAAATGTGAAAAGAGACGGGCCTCACCTCCCAGCCTACATCTTTCTCCCATGCTGGATGCTTCTTGCCCTCGAACATGGACTCCAAGTTCTTCAGTTTTGGAACTCTGGCTGGCTCTTTTTGCTCCTCATCCAGCAGATGGCCTATTGTGAGACTTGGTGATTGTGTGAGTTAATACTTAATAAACTTCCTGTATTAGCCAGTGACATCTAGAGGGACAGAACTAACAGGATATATACATATATATATACATACGCACACACATACATATATATGCGCGCACACACACACACACACATATATTTATTTATAAAGGGGAGTTTATTAACTTACAGGATCATAAGTTACACAGTGGGCTGTCTGCAAACTGATGAGAAAGGAGAGCCATGGAGTCCAATGTTTGAGGGCAGGAAGAAACCAGCATGGGAGAAAGATGTAGGCTGGGAAGCTAGGCCAGTCTCTCCTTTTCAAATTTTTCTGCCTGCTTTATATTTGCTGGCAGCAGATTAGATTGTGCCCACCAGATTAAGGGTGGGTCTGCCTTCCCCAGCCCACTGACTCAAATGTTAATCTCTTTTGGCAACACTCTCACAGACACACCCTGGATCAATACTTCATATCCCTCAATCCTATCAAGTTGACACTCATTATTAACCATCTCACTCCCCTTCATATATATATATGTATATAGTCCTTTAATTCTGTCAGTCTAGAGAACCCTGACTAATACATCTACACTTCTGATGATCTATTTCTTTTATTTTAGGTCATTTATTTCCCCTGGGTTGCCTACACTCGCTTCTTCCCACTCCCCTATGAAGGATAATATAAGCCTCTGGACCTCACTAGGTCAGGGCATGTCCCTGCTTGCACTATCCATGACACTTTCCTCTTTTACTCTTTAGCAATGAGGGAATGTCATCCTTACCCAGATGCCAGCCACCTGTCTCACATCCAGGACAGAGAGTCTCCATCTCCCCTCCAGCAAATACCCATGTATGTGGGCATGGTGGCATGCCCCTGTGATCCCAGCTACTCCATAGGCTTAGGGGGGAGAATCACTTGTGCTTGAGAATTCAAGGTTGCAAGGAGCCATGATCACACCACTGCACTTCATGCTGGGTAACTGAGTGAGACCCTGTGATTTTTCCCCTACATTTTACAGAATTTTTTTTTGCCTCTTTCTTCTATTAATTTATGTTTTGTCCATTCATTTTCTGCAAACCTTCAGAGGGCAAATAGGAAGTTTCCCTTTTTAACGTGGTGGCTCACGCCTGTAATCCCAGCACTTTGGGAGGCCGAGGTGAGCAGATCACCTGAGGTTGGGAGTTCGAGACTAGCCTGACCAACATAGAGAAACCCCGCCTCCACTAAAAAAAATACAAAATTAGCAGGGTGTGGTGGTGTGCACCTGTGATCCCAGCTACTCAGGAGGCTGAGGCAAGAGAATTGTTTGGACCTGGGAGGCGGAGGTTGCAGTGAGCCCAGATTGTGCCACTACACTCCAGCCTGGGTGACAAGAGCGAAACTCCGTCTCAAAAAAAAAAAAGAAACAAAAACAAACAAAGAAAAAAACACCTACTGCCTCACTGAATTAAAGGTGTGTTCAGCAGTTTCTTTGTTATTTCGAAGAGTGTCATCTGCTTCAGCAGGGTCAGTTTTTAATGTATTTGTTTTGTTTCTTTTTTCTCTGTCTGGTGTTGTTTTCTATTTTATTATAATTTTTTAAATTTGAGGGATGAGGTTTTCATAGCACTGAATATCAAACAATGAATCCGCATGAATGATTCACCTAATTTCCTTGGTTTTAGTCCTCTATACAGGTTTTATATAGCAAAAGAACCATTTAAAGACTTGGGTTACAAATGTATTTTATTTTACCTCTGGCATGCCTTGGGCTGAGAAAGCATTATATGGTGGCGCAGTATTTGTAACATTCTCATAGCCATCTGGCGGTGGTTCAAGGTATGACACTTTGAAAATCTAGCAAGAATTAAAATATGTCAAGTTAGAGATAAAAATTCCAGATTATTATTAAGATATAATTCATTTTGCCCCAAGTATATACTTCAGATTAAGCATCCTGGAACTAGGTTCTATAATTAAATAGATAAATTACACTGACAACAATGAGAAAGAGCCTTATCATTATTATTGTCTTCCTAATAATAGAAACTTTTATAAATGCATGCAATCCCAGGTAACCAAAAGTTTCCTTATAAAGTGTAACAGCAGAGCTTCAAAGGTGGCATTTGGCAAGCCTCTTTTTTTGACTATGCCTTTTCAGCTTCCTTTGTGGGTTCCTTTTCTCTCATCTTTATTTAAATAATATTTCCCTATGTTTTATCCCCAGCCCATTGCTTGCCTCTGTACTGCCTCCCTGCGATACTTCATTAAGTATCAGAATTTTACCAATAGCTCATATGCTTATGATGCTTACCTTTTCAGATTCGTATATTTAAATGTTTTGTGATTATTTCATCCTGGATGTCCAAACTCAACATGTTAAAATTCAAATTTATCATCTCTCACCCCGGGCCTGCTTTTGGTCTGCATTTCCTACCTCTATTAATAGCTTCAGTTATTAGCCACCGACACCAGACAGTCTCGGAGTCATCCTGAACTCTATCTTCCCCTCCTTCCCCAAGTCAATCACTAATCAAGTCCTGCTAATACATTTCCTTACTATTTCTGAAATCCATCCCTCTTCCTCATTCCTACTAACATCCTAATTTAAAACTTTATTATCTTTTACCTGGACTATTGTCTTAAGACAACAACTTTAACCCGTTGCTTAGCCTAGGTGTAATCCACAGAGGATCTTGTCTGTCTAAGATGCCCCTCTAGCCACATCCTTCCCCTGCTCAGATCTTGTCATTGGCTCCCATGAACTGAAGTTGAAGTTTAAGCTCCTTAGGACAGCATACACGCCCTTCTATGATCTGTTCCCAGAACATATTTACTGGTTTATCTCATATCATGGCCCACTTTGTATTTTACACTTTTGAAATACAGAAAATCATTACATTCTCCCAATAATACTAAGCTAGTATATGCCTAAAAGCCTTTGCCAATATTTTGTCTTTTGTTGAGAATTCTCTTAGCTTATTTTGTCACGTGGTTAACTCCTTATGTCCTTTCACGACTCACATGTCAAGACTTCAGGAAACCTTCTCTAACTCCCAGGCTGGGCTGAGTGACCCTTTTCTGGGTAAATAATGAACTCTAATCATACTCTTCATAGCACTTACCATACTAATTTGAAGTCTGAAGTATTCCATTTTCTGCCTCAGTTTACTTAGGCAAAGGAACCATGTCCTAGTCTCATTCTGGCCTCAGGACTTCAGCCTGGGCGACAGTGGGAGACTGTGTGTCAAAAAAAAAATTGCCAATGATTGAAGCCTAATACTGAAGATTCTGGTTTATTAATAATTAGTCTGTTGCTGGGTGTTAATTGAGCTCCCCAAGTGATTACTCATGTAGGACTTCAAAACGATAATTTAGAACCTTGTGACTAAAAATCTGGGCAAAAATAAGCAGCATCAGTATCACCTGGGAGCAGCTTCAGGTCTCACTTTAGATTTACTCTGAATCTAAATATTATATTTTTATTAAAAAAATTAAGAACAGATGACAATCTTCAACTACATCTAAATTCTTTAGATTTACTTTAAAAGAATCAACATTTTGACACAATACCAAAGTGAACTAAATTCGCTTTTTTTTTTTTTTTTTTTGAGACAGAGTCTTGCTCTGTTGCCCAGGCTGGAGCGCAGTGGTGCAATCTCGGCTCACTGCAACTTCCACCTCTCCAGTTCAAGCGATTATCTTGCCTCGGCCTCCAAAGTAGCTGGGATTACAGGCACATGCCATCATGCCCGGCTAATTTTTGTATTTTTAGTAGAGACAGGGTTTCACAATGTTGGGTCAGCTGGTCTCGAACTCCTGACCTCAAGTGATCTGCCTGCCTCGGCCTTCCAAAGTGCTGAGATTATAGACATGGGCCACCATGCCCAGCCTAAATTTGCTTTAATTTGGAGAAGTACTGGTCTAGAAAACACAAATTCCAAGGAGACTCAGGTTCTTAAGTTGATTTCTTGAGTACAAGTTCTTCAAATGCATTCTCCAAGATTAATTTTTTTTTTTACTTTTTAAATTGACAAAGATTATACATATTCATGGCTATACGGGGATGTTTCAGTACATGTAGATGGTGATCAGATCAGGGTAATTAGCATATCTATCATCTCAAACATTTATTATTTCTTTGTGTTGGGAACATTCAAACTACTCCTAGGTATTTTAAACTACATAATATAGTATTGTTAACTATAGTCATCTACAGTACTATAGAACACTAGAACTTATTACTCCTACCTAGCTGTAATTTTGTATCCATTAACAAATCTCTTACCATTCCTCCTTTCTCCCTACCCTTTTCAGCCTGCAGTATCCTCTGTTCTACTTTTTACTTCTATGAGATCAACTTTTCTTTAGCTTCTGCGTGAGTGAGAACATGTGGTGCTGAAATTTCTATTCCTGGCTTATTTTGCTTAACATAATATCCTCCAGTTCCATCCATGTTGCTGAGAATGACAGGGTTTTATTTATTCTTTTTTATGGCTAAATAGCATTCCTTGGTGTATATATACCGTATTTTAAAAATCCATTCATCTGTTGTTGGAAACCTAGGTTGATTCCATATCTTGGCTATTGTGAACACTGTTGCAATAAACATGGGGATGCAGATGTCTCTGCAATATAATGCTTTTCTTTCCTTTGGATAAATTCCCAGTAGTGGGATTGCTTGAGGTGTTTCAATACTGTTCTCCATACTGGCTGCTCTAATTTACATTCCTACCAACAGTGCATAAGAGTTCCTTTTTCTCCAGCTACTCAGGAGGCTGAGGGAGGAGAACTATTTGAACCCTAGAAGCAGAGGGAGCCAGATTACACCACCACTGCACTCCAGCCTGGACGGAGAGTGAGATTCTGTCAAAAAAAAAAGTCCCTTTTCTTCACGTCTTTGTCAGCATTTGTTATTTTTGTCTCTTCTATAATAGCCATCCTAACTGGAGTAAGATGATGCCTCACTGTGGCTTTGATTAGCATTTCCTTGCTGATTAGTGGTGTTGAACATTTTTTCATATATTTGTTGGTCATTTGTATGTCTTCTTTTGAGAAATGTCTGTTCAGAGCATTTGTTTATATTTAATTAGATTGTTGTGCTTCTTTGCTGTTGATATGTTTGAATTCCTTGTATATTCTTGATATTAATTTCCTGCCAGATGAGTTTATACTTTCTCCCATTCTGTAGGTTGTCTTTTCACTCACTTTCTTATTTCCTTTGCTGTGCAGAAGATTTTTAGCTTGATGTGATCCTATTTGTTTATTTTTTCTTTTGTTGCCTGTGCTTTTGATGCCTTATTCATAAAATATTTTCCCAGAGCAATGTCCTGAAGGATCTCCCCTATGTTTTCTTCTAGTAGCTTTACCATTTTGGGTCTTATATTTGGGTATTTGAGATACTTTGAGTTGATCTTTGTATAGGGTGAGAGGCAGAGGTCTAGTTTCATTCTTCTGCATATGGATATCCAGTTTTTCCAGCACCATTTATTGAAGAGACTATCCTTTCCCCAATGAGTGTTCTTGGCATCTTTGTAAAAAATCCGTTGGCTGAGATATGTGGATTTTCTGCGTTCTTTATTCTATTCCATAGGTCTATGTGTCTGTTTTTATGCCAATACCATGATGTTTTGGTTACTACAGTTTTGTAGTGTATTCTGAAGTCTGGTAGCATGATACATCCAGCTTTGTTCTTTTTGCTTAGGATGGCTTTGGCTATTCAGGATACTTTTTGATTCCATAAAATCTCTTTGGATTTTTTTTTAATTTTGTGAAGAATGTTCATAGGTATTTTGATAGAGATTGCATTGAATCTGTAGGTTGCTTTTGAGTAGTACTGTCACTTTAACAACATTCATATTTCTGATCCATGAGTATGAATGTCTTTTCATTTGTTTGTATCCTCTTCAATTTCTTTCATTAGTGTTTTGTAGTTTTCATTTTACCTCCTTGGTTACATTTATGTCTGGGTTTTTTTTTTTTTTTTTGGTAACTATTGTAAATGGGTTTGCCTTCTTAATTTCTTTTTCAGCAAGTTTGTTGTTCATATATATAAATGCAACCAATCTTCGTGTATTAGTTTTGTGTCTTGCAACTTCACTGAATTTGTTTGTTCTAAAAGTTTTCTGGTAGTCTTCAGGTTTTCCTATATATAACATCATGTCATCTGCAAATAGGAACAATTTGATGTCCTCCTTTCCGATTTGAATGCCCTTTATTTCTTTCTCTTGTCTAATTACTCTTGATAGGACTTCACATTTATATACTTTGAATATTTAAAATGTTTACATAAATGTCAGAATCAACTTTCATTTTTCATAGAAAAAGAAGATCCTACTTGTTTTGTAGTTTTAATATTAATCAATTATTATTATCTGAGACAAATTATTAACAAACCATCTATTAAAATATTTCACCACAAATAAATTCCATAAGGAAAATATCTACAACTGTTTTTATGAAAGAAAAAAAGGCTTCTCTACAGTTGCTTAGGCCTGGTGTCATGGCACACACCTATAAATCCCAGCGCTGTGGGAGGCCATGGCAAGAGGATCCTTTGAGCCCAGGAGTTTGAGACCAGCATGGACAACAAAGTGAGACCTCATCTCTACAAAAAATAAAAAAGAAATTAGCTGGCCATGGTGGTGCGTGCCTGTGGTCCTAGCTACTCGAGAGGCTGAGGAAGGAGGATCACTTGAGCCAGGGAGGTGGAGGTTTCACTGAACCATATTCACGCCACTCCACTCCAGCCTGGGCAACAGAGCTAGACCTTGTCTCAAAAAATTAAGTTAGTTAAATTAAACATAAAGTTGCATTGTACTTAAGAAATTGGGAAAGCAGAAAATGCTTCTGTTTTTCTTTTGAGTTGAACAATGAGAACACATGGACACAGGGAGGGGAACATCACATACCGGGGCTTGTCGGGGGGTGGGAGGCTAGGGGAGTGATAGCATTAGGAGAAATACCTAATGTAGATGATGGGTTGACGGGTGCAGTAAACCACCATGGCATGTGTATACCTATGTAACAAACCTCCACGTTCTGTACATGTATCTCAGAACTTAAAATGTAATAATAACAATAATAAAAACCTCAAAAAAAGGAAATGCTTCTTCTTAGAACAGATTACATACCCTCATTGCTTTTTATAATAGCCTGTAATAACAGAATATCCACAAGGTGGCAGTAATATATCAGTTTCATCCTCTGTAATTAAAACTTTTGCCTATTCAGTAATACAATGGATCTTTTGAACTCACTCTAACACGTAGAATACAGCAATTTGACTTAATAATTAGCCTTTAAATTTGTAGTCTTGTATTATCACTTTAGTAGTTTGAATTATTTTGTATTTTAATATATTTAAATGAATTAGTCCTATAGAAATTGACTAATTTGACATGTGAAGGTGTTTTTATTCTATTTTCAGAAGTTTAGCTTTAAAAAAATTTCTAAACTTCGATATCTGGTGAGTGTCAATGTTTTTATCTTATTAAAAGCTGACAGACCACACTATATTCAACTGATTTTTTTTTTAACAAGGATGCAAAATCAGTTTAAAGGAAGGATATCTTTTTCAACAAATGGTGCTACAGCAATTGGACATTCACAGGTACAAAAACTAAGACTGACCTAAATTTATACTTTATATAAAATTTAGCTCACATAAATCACAGGCTTAAATGTAAAATGTAATATTATAAAACTTAAAGTTGTGCATGGTAGCTCGTGCCTGTAATCCCAGCTACTACTCAAGTGGCTGAGGTGGAAGCATCACTTCAATCCAGCAGTTAGTGGCTGCAGTGAGCAATGATGGCACCACTGCACTACAGCTTGGGCGAAACCTCGTCTCAAAAATAATTAATAAATAAATAAGTTCACTAAACTTTTTACAATAGAAGAAAACTCTTGAGACCTTGGGCTAGGCAAAGAATTTTTAGGCTTGATATTAAAAACAAAATCTACAAAAGGAAAAAGTGATAAAACTGGACTTCATTAGAATAAATAAACACTTTTTTTTTTTTTTTTTTTTTTTTTACTTAGAAAGACCCTGTAAAGAGGTTGAAAAAATGAATTACAGACTGGGAGAAATAATTTCATACCATATATCTGACAAAGAACTTACATCTAGCATATGTAAAAAATTCTCAAAACTCAATAGTAATAAGATACCAATTAGAAAATAGGCATATGTGACCTCTCTGTATTATAACTTAAACCTCATGTGACTACAATTATTTCAAATGAAATAAACAAAACAGTAATGCCTGTTTCTGGCATATAAAATAATCAGAGAACATAGAATTGTACGAAGTTAAATTATTGGGCCATTTACTTAATTTAAATATTTTTAAATGCGTGTACCCATTTTGCTTGAAGGTGTGTGCAAGTATGCTTGTATTTTTTTAACGATAATATGGTCACATGAGCATTAAATTTATTTTTTAAAAGTTTATAGTTACCCCACACAAGTTCTTATTGATTCCCTCATTCTTAACACCTGCATAGTATTTCATTTTATAATTAATGGATTGTAGGTTTATTCTTTTAAAATCACTTGTGTTGTTCTCATTTTTTTTTCACTAAAAAGTGTTGCAATGCACAAAACTAAAAATATAAGGAGGGTCTTTTCTGGATCTCTGTTGAAAAACTTTGAATAAAAATTACAAGTTCAAATCACATGCAAAATAAACATTTTAATTAATCGGGCTTTTATGCAAGATGTTAGTAGCAGTAGCAGCACAGTTTTATTAAGATCCCTGAATCTCTCACAAAAACTGACTGAGCAACTGGGATAACAAGGTATTAACTACGACAAAACAATGTAACAGGGTGTCATCATGGACGTTTTGTGAGGTTAAACCACAGGGACCCAGGGGAATCACCAATTTTTTTGGAAGAAGGAAAGGAAAGGAAAAAAATGTTTAATGGCCCTGGGAACTGGAAAACCTAGAAATACAAGCGCTAACATCTATGTTCCTAAATTCAGAGATTCTTACTAGGCAAAAAGAACTCAGCAGATTAATCTGAGAACAGCAGCTGAGGCTGGCAGAAGGCTTCCTGGGCCTCAACTCATAGCTGAGAGTGAGGGTGGCAAAAAGCAGTGCTGTGAGTGGTCTGTTTCCTATGAACCCTACAAATTAACCACCCCCAAAACAAAGCCCTGTCCTAAGGAGAAACTGCAGGAAGTCAATTATAAATTGAGTTGGGAAGCACACTGAGGCTCAAGAAAAGGGAAGCTCCAGGTTAAGATGCAAGAGAAGAAGGGAAAAGGCAGTTTTCTGCAAGTTCAAGCACAAATAATTTCTTTACCTTCTAGTTCTGGAAATACCAGGTGCTGTGTATGTAAAGCAGGAATTTTGGTTGAATATTATATAATTTTCTGACCCACTGTTACTAATCCAGTTTCCCCTGTACTCAGATCTTCCATACTACAGACAGACCTGACAGATGCTCAGCAAATAGTAGCTAATATTTTCTAGGAAACTATGTGCTAAACGAGTTTTCTTAAATTTCTACCTCCAGGTCTGTAAGTTGATTTGAAGCATTACCAGTTTCTGGTTCTGCACAGGTTGTTGAGCGCAGGACTTCTCTCCTCCAGTGGAAAGTCCACCTGCTCACAATCAACCATCCTTTCCTGCAGCCTTGGAGACACTACTCAGTGTAGCACGCCTCCCAGTCTAGAATAGGCACACTCATCATCAGTCTCTCTCATTTTCTGTCTTATCTCCATTCCATCTACGTACAGTTTTTGTTTTCGCCAATGTTTTTAAATAAACAATTGTACAAGCACGACGACAACAGAAACCTTCCTTCCCCCAGTGTTGTAGTGAGCAAGGAATATATTTAACTTCAAATAAAATACAAGAACAAATGCTGGATAAAGCTGACAGAAAGAAATGCAACTGTAGGTGCTCTGGCAATATAGAAATGATACAACTAAGAAAAATGGAAGAAAAGGAAAGAGAAAGTATTCCTCAGAATGATTTTACTGACTGCTCATCTTTAATGCCTGGGAGTCAAAGGATATTGTTTATAGAAATGTAAGCATACTTAATGGCACCAGGGGAAACAAAGTTAATATGATTAAATCAAATTGTGGGATGAAAAATCACATAGGGAGGACAAGAAAGAGAATACAGCTAATACCATTGTTCTTAGTTTAGAGACATTAGCTACTGTCTAAAGAAAGAGATGATTTTATGAAATTACATAAGGTAGCCATCAGAATAAAAGTTTAACTCTTCCAAATATCACAACATCAAAACAAAAGCAATAAAAACAAACAAGACAGCAAAAGACAGATATGTGCATATAAATCATAGCATAATATACTGTAATCAAAATATAACCAAACACAATTTATCATTAAAAGTAAGTGGGCTTGACTCTTATTAGAGGAAAAAATATTGTCAGATTAAATCAAAAAGCAAATCTCAATTCTATGCTGGATATAAGATAAAGTGTTACAGAAAGTTTAGAAATAAAAGTATAGGCAATGAATAAAA